>NC_000014.9:73399591-73551106 GCF_000001405.40 Homo sapiens
AAAAAGGCTTAGCCATATGCAGTGGCTGACATCTGTAATTCCAACAACTCCAGAGGCTAAACTAGGAGGACTGCTTGAGGCCAGGAGTTTGAGCTTACAGTGAACAATGACTACACCACTGCACTCCAGCATGGGCAACACAGCAAGAGCCTGTCTCTAAAAAATAAACAGGCCAGGCATGGTGGCTCACACCTGTAATCCCAACACTTTGGGAGGCCAAGGCCAGTGGATCACTTGAGGTCAGGAGTTCAAGACCAGCCTAGCCAACATGGAGAAACCCCATCTCTACAAAAATAAAAAAATTAGCTGGATGTCGTGGCATCTGTAATCCCAGCTACTCGGGAGGCTGAGGCAGGAGAATCGTTTGAACGCAGGAGATGGAGGTTGCAGTGAGCTGAGATCGTGCCACTGCACTCCAGCCTGGGCGATGGAGTGAGACTCTGTCTCAAAAACAAAAACAAAAAAAAACAAAAAAGTAAAAATATATAAATGAATAAGCAAGCAAGTGAGCTAGCAAGTCATGAAGAGCAGACATGAAAGAACTTTAAATGCACACTACTAAGTGAAAGAAGCCAATCTGAAAAGGCTACATATACCATATGATTCCAACTATATGACATTCTGGAAAAGGCACAACTATGGAGACAGGAAAAGGATCAGTGGTTACCAAAGGTTAGGTGAGAGGAAGGGATGGACAGCCAGAGCACAGAGAATCTTTGGGGTAGTAAACCTATTTTGCATGATACTACAGTGGTGGATGCATGTCATTACATTTGCCAAAATCCTTGAAAGTACAACACCAAGAATAAACTCTAATGTAACCTAAGGACTTAGGGTGAAAATAATGTGTCAATGTGGGTTTATCGATTATAACAAATTATGAAACATATAATTGGTCTTCTTGCCCTTTCCTGACATATACCTCATAAAACCATTGGCACCTCTGGAGTGATGAGTATCTTTTACATGCTAATGAGATGACAGTGGCTGGACATCTCTAGATAGCTTCAAGGATAAGGGCTGGTCACCTGAAAGACCAAGGCATGATAAGAGGGTTGCCCCCAACCTCCAGAGAGGGAAGAGGAGCTGAAGGGTAAGCTGATTACAAATGGCCAATGACTTAATCAATCATGCCTATGTAATGAGGCTTCCATAAAAACCCGAAAGGACAGGGTTTGGAGAGCTTCCGGATAGATGAACACTTGGAGGTTCCAGGAGGGTGGCACACCTGAAGAAGGCATGGCATGCCCCTTTCCACATACCTTGCCCTATGCATCTCTTCCATCTGTCTCCTTTGTAATACCCTTTATGATAACCCAATAAATGTAAATGAAGTGTTTCCCTGAGTTCTGTGAGCCACTCTAGCAAATTAATTGAACCAAAAGAGGGAGCTGTGGTAACCCCAATTTATGGCTAATCAGCCAGAAGCACAGGACACAACGTGGGGCTTGCAATTTAAGTAGGGGATTGAGCCCTCAACCTGTGGGATCTGATTCTATCTCCAAGTAAATAATGTCAGAATTGAGTTAAAATGTAGGATACCCAGCTGGTGTCTGCCAAAGAATTGACTGGGTTGCTGGTAGATAGAAATCCCCACGCATTTTGGTGACCAGAGGTGCTGTGTTATACTGAGTTTGTATTGGTTTGATTTTTCTTATATCTCCTGTGTACTATTCTGGTAAGGAATGTTGACAGTAAGAAAGGCTGTGGGTTTGTGGGGGCAACAGGTATATGGAAACTCTCTGTATTTTTTTTGCTCAATTTTGCTATAAACCTGAAACTGTTCTAAAAAAATTAAGTCTTCCAAAACTAACAAAAAAAAAAACAGGGGATGGTACTCATGAACCAATAATGACTAACTGGCTATAAACAAACAAAACAAAGAAGTACAGATCTGGAAGGTTCATGTCAAAGGCACCAGAGCACATCCATGTGTACAACGGAAACCACTAACAAAATATGTAAGACTAAATTTTTTTTTTTTTTTTTTTTTTTTGAGACGGAGTCTCGCTCTGTCGCCCAGGCTGGAGTGCAGTGGCATGACCTTGGCTCACTGCAAGCTCCACCTCCCAGGTTCAAGTCATTCTCCTGCCTCAGCCTCCCAGGCAGCTGGGACCACAGGTGCCTGCCACCACGCCCAGCTAATTTTCTGTATTTTTAGTAGAGATGGGGTTTCACTGTGCTAGCCAGGATGGTCTCGATCTCCTGACCTTGTGATCCGCCCACCTCGGCCTCCCAGAGTGCTGGGATTACAGGCGTGAGCCACCACATCCGGCCTAAATTTGTTTTTGAGACAGGGTCTCTGTCACCCAGGCTGGAGAGCAGTGGGGTACAATCAGAGCTCACTGCAGCCTCAAACTGCTGGGCTCAAGCAATCTTCCTGCCTCAGCCTTCGTGAGTAGCTAGGACCACGTGCACGCACCACCATGTCCAGCTAATTTTTTAGAATTATTTGTAATGACAAGGTCTCACTATGTTTGCCCAGGCTGCAATCAAACTCCTGAGCTCAAGTGATTCCTCTGCCTCAGCCTCCCAAAGTGCTAGGATTACAGGAGTGAGCCACTGCACCTGGCTAAAAACTTTTTATCATGGTGGGAAAAGACCTCATAATTCAAATCCAGTTTCTGCAGCTATTTTTCTTCAACAGATGGAGAAAAATACTACTAATCAACAGTATCTCCTTGATCACAAATACATTTCTAGAGTAAATTAAATGACTGATTCCCTATCTGTTATATGGATCCTAAAACATAAAAATAATAACTAAAAATAGCAGGAGCAGATGCCTTTTACTGAGAGCCCATAAAGTATTGCACTGTAGATATATCTAATCTAACAATCCTCAGAGATTACACACTATATTACTATCTCAGAGAGATTAATTGATTTGCCTAAGAACACACAACTATGTAGTGTAACTAGGAATCAAATATAATCTTCTACTATAAAGTCTGTGCTCTCTCACTCTACCCCAATGTCCACATACCAAACAATTATAATAATAATATCTTCCATTGTAGCACCTCCAATGTATTAGGCACTGTATTAGGTACTTTACATAAATTATCTCCTTCACACTTCACGACTGCCTTGAAAGTCAGATATTATTAATTCCATTTTACAGATGAGGAAACAGAAGCTTATAAACTCAGTAACTTGCCCAAGGTCTCAAGATTCAAGCCAAGTTTCACTTTGCGTTATCAAAAGCTCACTTTCACAACTAAATTTAAAATTATCTTTACTATTTTTAGTCCTTTGGTTCTCCACACTACCCAGTTAAATGTGTATTATGTAATAATAAAGCACCTATGTGCTGAACATCACATTGAAGTCAAACAAACACAATTTTGATATAAAATAAATGTAATCATATAACTGTGACAGATGTTAACTGGTTACTCAAAAGGCCATTCCCAAATCCCTACTCCCTCCTTGCCTCTCATTACAGAGGCCAAAAGACGAAAACAGCTGGAGGTGACCATATGACCCAATTTTGGCCCTTGGAACATCAGAAGTGACTTGCTGGAATCACTAATAAGAAAGCTTTTCCTTGGCATAGTCTTTTTCCTTCTTCCTTGAATGTAGGTGGAAGGCTGGACCTGCAGTAGCCATCTTAAGACCATGAAAGGCCAAGCAAATCACAAATTCATAGGCCCCAACAATGTTGAACCATTAAAGCAACATGAGCAGCTGCCAACTTCAGATTTATGTAAGCTTTATAGTCAGGTTTTCAACTGCTTACAGCCTGATTCACCCATTATATATCACCATATCAGAAACTCCACCACAATTTTAACTGTAAGTAACTTCCTGGCTAATAATTAAAAACAAAGTCACATACTAGTCCTAAATTAGTCTGACAAAATTACAATCTCCTGATGAGGACTATTCTGAGTATTTGCTCAGGAAGCTGTGAGAAGCCTGAGCTGAGGAAAGAATGAGAGACAAGAATACAGAATCGGGGAGCTCCCTGGGCTCTGAATTGCACACATGGTAAGAGCCCAGACTCTCAAGATAATTACCAGAAGTATGTCATCAGAAGGGACACATCCTTGAACAATAATATAAGCCTTCAAGAGATTGGCGGGGCATGGTGGCTCACGCCTGTAATCCCAGCACTTTGGGAAGCCGAGGCAGGCAAATCACTTGAGGCCAGGAGTTTGAGACCAACCTGGCCAACATGGCAAAACCCTGTCTCTATTAAAAATACAAAAAAAAAGAGGCCAGGCATGGTGGCTCATGCCTGTAATTCCAGGACTTTGGGAGGCCGAGGCGGGCGGATCATGAGGTCAGGAGTTTGAAATCAGCCTGGCCAATATGCTGAAACCCCGTCTCTACTAAAAATACAAAAATTAGCCAGGCATGGTGGCGCGGCCCTGTAGTCCCAGCTACTCAGGAGACTGAGGCAGAAGAATCACTTGAACCCCAGAGGCGGAGGTTGCAGTGAGCCGAAATCACCTGAGCGACAGAGCAAGACTCCGTCTGAAAAAAAAAAAAAAGATTAGCGAGGCATGGTGGCGCATGTCTGTCATCCCAGCTACTTGGCAAGCTGAGACACAAGAATCGCTTGAGCCTGGGAGGCAGAGGTTGCAATGAGCTGAGATTGTGCCACTGAACTCCAGTCTTGGTGACAAAGCAAGGCTATGTCTCAAAAAACAAAAAAAGGTAAAATAATAATAATAATAATAATAATAATAACATGCTTCAAAACAAAAGCCCTGGAACGTCAAGACTCTTGTTGAAAAAAATTCATAGTTAAGGTATGATCAGGGTCTTGGGGTTACAGGAAAAAATAGTTTGCATTCAATAATAAATGTTTATAAAGTATAATATCCTTTTTCTTAGAAGATGCATGCTCAAGTATTTAGAGGTAAATTATGTTGTCTACAACTTACTTTCAAGTGGTTTATATAAAAGAGGATACATACATATTAGAATACACATATAAAGCATGGGAAAATGTGAAAAAATATTGAAATATCAGTGGGGGATATACAGATGTTCAACATATGTCTTACAACATTCTTGTACATTTGAAATATTTCATAATAAAAAGTTGGTGTTAATGTTAATTTCCTGGTTTTGGTATTGTACTACAGCTATGTAACTTGGTAAAGGGCATATAGGACTTCATTTTCATATTTTTATACCTTTCTGTGAATCTAAAATGATTTTCTTTTTTTTTTTTGGAGACGGAGTCTTGCTGTCACCCAGGCTGGAGTGCAATGGTGTGATCTTAGCTCACTGCAACCTCCGCCTCCCGGGTTCAAGCAATTCTTATGCCTCAGCCTCCAGAGTAGCTGGGATTACAGGCACGCACCACTGAGCCCGGCTAATTTTTATATTTTCAGTAGAGACAGGGTTTCACCATGTTGGCCAGGCTGGTCTCGAACTCCTGACCTTGTGACCTGCCCGCCTCTGCCTCCCAAAGTGCTGGGATTACAGGCGTGAGAAAATTATTTCAAAACAAAAAGTTAAAAATGTTGGGAAGATTTCTCGCTTGGTAAGATGAAGTAAATATATCTCCCTTTATCTTCCAGTTAACTATAACACTGGGATGGAATGCATGAACAGCTATTTGAAGATGCTGTAAAGTAAATATCACAGGTGGATCCAGGGAAATCAACAGAATTCCAACTATCCCCAAACTAGCTGTGAGTTTATCATTTTTTTCCTCTAGTATCCTCCAGCCTGAACTCAACACAACCTAAAACCCAGAAGTGAGCACAATGGTGCAGGCAGAGAGAGAAACAGAACCCTCTAGCTCTGGCTCAAGGCCCGTAAAGGGAACTCCTACAGCTCAGAGAAGATGAGGGAAATCCTTTAGGTATTTTTTTCTTTCTCTTTTTTTTTTTTTTTTTTTTTTGACAGGATCTCACTCTGTTGCCCAGGCTAGAATGCAGTGGCACAATCACAGCTCGCCACAACCTCAAACTCCTGGGCTCAAGTTATCCTCCCGCCTCATCCCCACAAAGTGCTAGGATTACAGGTGTGAGCCACTGTGCTCAGCAGCTTGGGAAAACTCCATACTCTCATGTGTCAGTCCCCAGGTCATCCATGGTGGGGGCAGCAGCAACAACAGAAGAATCTGGGAATGGAAAGCCTCCAGGAACAAAACTTTTGAAGGAAGGGAACCTTTCTCTCCATCCTGTGGAGCCGTGCCTCCAAGTGGGCAGGACAAACTCTGTTGTTTTGGGTTTTTTTTCTTCTCTCTCTGTCCATAGGAAAGTGACCCCATAATGTTGTTTATGAACTGCTGGGCTCATCCTCAACCTGTGTAGGTATGCATCTGATACCAATTGGCATAATAAAAACTCTGATAACTGAGATAATGAGTAGACCTACACCCAGATCCCAGACTGACCAATGGGTGGAACACTTGTGGGACAGATCTGAATAACACTGCCAAAGCTCAGAAAACTGAATTTATATGGAACCACAACCCACAGAAGATTAAAACAAAAATACCAATATTCTCCACAGAATATTAACATATTTTTGTTTTTTTTTTTTTTTATTATACTTTAAGTTCTAGGGTACATGTGCACAACGTGCAGGTTTGTTACATATGTATACATGTGCCACGTTGGTGTGCTGCACCTATTAACTCATCATTTACATTAGGTAAATCTCCTAATGCTATCCCTCCCCCCTCCCCCCACCCCATGACAGGCCCCGGTGTGTGATGTTCCCCTTCCTGTGTCCAAGTGTTCTCATTGTTCAATTCCCACCTATGAGTGAGAACATGCGGTGTTTGGTTTTCTGTCCTTGTGATAGTTTGCTGAGAATGATGGTTTCCAGCTTCATCCATGTCCCTACAAAGGACATGAACTCATCCTTTTTTATGGCTGCATAGTATTCCATGGTGTCTATGTGCCACATTTTCTTAATCCAGTCTATCATTGATGGACATTTGGGTTGGTTCCAAGTCTTTGCTATTGTGAATAGTGCCGCAATAAACATACATGTACATGTGTCTTTATAGTAGCATGATTTATGATCTTTTGGGTATATACCCAGTAATGCAATGGCTGGGTCAAATGGTATTTCTAGTTCTAGATCCTTGAGGAATTGCCACACTGTCTTCCACGATGGTTGACTAGTTTACACTCCCACCAACAGTGTAAAAGTGTTCCTATTTCTCCACATCCTCTCCAGCACCTGTTGTTTCCTGACTTTTTAATGATCACCATTCTAACTGGTGTGAGATGGTATCTCACTGTGGTTTTGATTTGCATTTCTCTGATGGCCAGTGATGATGAGCATTTTTTCATGTGTCTGTTGGCTGCATTAATGTCTTCTTTTGAGAAGTGTCTGTTCATATCCTTCGCCCACTTTTTGATGGGGTTGTTTGATTCTCCCACTTTAGCCTCCAGAGTAGCTGGGGTTACAGGCGTGCACCACCACGTCCAGCTAATTTTTTGTATTTTTAGTAGAGACGGGGTTTCACTATTTTGGCCAGGCTGGCCTCCAACTCCCGGCCTCAAGTAATCCACCCACCTGGGCCTCCCAAGGTGCTGGGATGACAGGAGTGAGCCACCATGCCAGGCCTCATCTTGTTTTTAAATGCAAAAAAAAAACAAAAAAAACAAACTCACTCCTGTCATCCCAGCCCTTTGGGAGGCCGAGATGAGCAGATGGCTTGAGTTCATGAGTTTGAGACAAGCCTGGGCAATACAGCAAAACCCCATTTCTACAAAAAATACAAAAATTAGCCAGGCATGGTAGCATGCTCCTGTAGTCCCAGTTACTCTGGAGGCAGAGATGAGAGGAGCACTTGAGCCCAGGAGGTGGAGGTTGTAGTGCTAACTGCACTCCTCCCTGGGCAACAGAGCAAGACCCTGTCTCAAAACAAAACAAAAACAAAAACAGCTTTCTCAATTACTGTAACTTCTGAACTAAAATATATTGTTTCACAAAAATCAGTCAATTCTGATCATTCGCAGTTGAGAATTAACAAACTTCTGATATTGCCTCTATTGACACACTAGGTGGTTCAGTTATTTTCCATTATAGAATTTTACCTGCAAGTACTAGGGAAATAGTGCTGAACCGACTCTGTTAAATTAAACTCATTATGATGTAAATCACTTTGGAATGAGAAAGTATCTAGATAGCAAGAAAATCTTCTGGGTCTTCTGCTTCCTAAAGCCTATTGTCCATTCCTATAGTGCACAGACCACAATCACATGTGATGTTTACAGAATTCTCTAAAAATATTTTCCATCACATCCAGAATTTGAGAATTACCTATATTCAAACCTGCCACAGGCAGTTTATATAACTGGTAGCAGTCAATAAGGCAACAAAATACTCTGTAACTTTGCAGTTTTCTCATCCCACTGAAAAAACTTGGCCGGGCGTGGTGGCTCATGCCTGTAATCCCAGCATTTTGGGAGGCCGAGGCGGGCAGATCACAAGGTCAGGAGATTGAGACCATCCTGACCAACATGGTGAAACCCCGTCTCTACTAAAAATACAAAAAATTAGCTGGGCATAGTGGCACATGCCTGTAGTCCCAGCTACTCGGGAGGCTGAGGCAGGAGAATGGCATGAACCTGGGAGGCAGAACTTGCAGTGAGCTGAGATTGCGCCACTGCACTCCAGCCTGGGCGACAGAGCAAGACTCCGTCTCAAAAAAAAAAAAGGAAAGAAAAAACGTTAAGATATTTACCAGAAATTTAGCAGGTAAGACTGTACAATCCTGAAAAAGACTTCCTTTAAAGAAACAGAGACAGACAAAACAAATTTGGAGGTATATAATGATAATATTGGCACTCAGTCCTCAAATTTATATTGGAAATCAATTTCCCAAATAATTATCAAATTATTCAAACAAACAAGAAAAAAAAAGACCCAAGTAGGCTTTGAACTAACGTGTTCTTAAAAACAACAACAACAAAACTCCAAACTACAAATCTTATTTTTCATCTTGTTTATAAACTTTTGTCTCTACTTTTGATTGTAGCAGTATACTGTTTTGTTGACACAAAAGAAAATTCCAGGCTGGACGCGGTGGCTCACACCTGTAATCACAGCACTTTGGGAAGCCAAGGAGGGTGGATCACCTGAGGTCAGGAGTTCAAGACCAGCCTGACCAACATGGTGAAACCCCGTCTCTACTAAAAATACAAAATTAGCCGGGTGTGGTGGCACAAGCCTGGAATCCCAGCTACTCGGGAGGCTGAAGCTGGAGAATCACTTCAACCCAGGAGGCAGAGGTTGCAGTGAGCCAAGATCGTGCCATTGCATTCCAGCCTGGGCAACAAGAGCAAAACTCCTTCTCAAAAAAAAAAAAAAAGAAAGAAAGAAAGAAAGAAAATTCCAAATCTATTTCACTTTATTTCTGTTTAGACATCTTATTTTCAATATCATCCTCTACTACACAAGAACACATCAAATTCTTATTGAACTCATACACCATAATATCCTGTAAATATTCCTCTTTTTCATATATTACATGTTATTTATATTCTTTATCTCAAAAGTAATACAAATTGTGGCAGATATTATCCAAAGATGCCTACAACGTTAGATTCCATCCCATATGCTCTTCTTACAATATGATGTTGATCCTTTCAAGTGGTGGGGTCTATGTCCACAGCTTCCTTGAAACTTGGGAGAACCTTTACAACTACATCAACCAGTAGGACAGAGCAAAGTAACACTATGTGACTTCCAAAACCAAGTCAAATATGCCATGCACCTTTGCCTTCCTCTCTTGGGATGCTCTCTCTCTCGGAACCCAGGCACCATGCTGTGAAGAAGCCAAGCAGCCACAAGGAGAAGTCACATGAAGGTGTTCTTGCCAACAGCCCAGGCTGAGGTCCTAGCCAACAGCCAGCTTTAACCACCAGATATGTGAGTGAGCAAGCCTACCTTCAAAGGATCCCAGTTCCCAGCCACTGAGCCACTCCAACCCTTCCAGCCACCCCACCTCATGCTGTATGTTAACAGAGACAAGCATCCCTACCAATCAAGCCTTGCTCAAACTGCAAATATATGAACAAAATAAATGACTGTTGTTTTAAGCCACTAAGTTTGAGGTACTTTGTTACACAGCAATAGATAACTGCAACACAAGCTCATAAATACAATCTGGAAAACAGACAAAAAGAAAAACAATTTTAATTATTCTAAGTTTTACCATTATAAAACATTTTGACACACATTTTACAATTAAGGAAATGTTTCACCCTACCCACCTAAGATTCCAAGTGATTTTACCAGGACAAAGGGTTATATTTGTAAAGGCAATAAAATGTTTGCATCTAACTACAAACTGGAAGAAAGACTGTTAGCTTTCAATCCACTTTGCTTATCCTTAAGTATCTCTTTCACTTACTTGTCCTAAGTGAGGCGTCTGAGGATTGCTGGCCCACCAATATTCCAATCTATGGATATAGATCAAGATCTTGAATTGTAACAGTGGCTGCACTGGCACTCTTCCCCGGAAGAAGTTGCTTAAGCCTCAAATCTGAAATTTTCAAGGAAAGAAAATCTTAAATATACATATCTCCTTTCAATCACTTAAAATTTCACATCTATAGTTGAGTAAGGACTGATGGAGTTGGTTACGATATATGGAAATGAATGCACAGGTTTCACTAAAAATAGAGTTGGCCTGTGCAATTCTTGAAACAGGGCAAAAATAATAACAATTTTAAAAACTGAGGTGGATAATATGGGTTCAAGTTCCAGCCTTACATTCTTAAGAGCTATACGATCTCAGTTAAGTCACAAATTCTCCGTGCATAAGTCTGATACTGTGATGAAGACTGAGGGAACCAGATCAAAATTTTGGGCTAGGAGTCAGAAGACCTGGGTTCCAAACTCAGTGATCATTCTCCCTTGCTGTAAGAACTTTGATACGTCTCTATGGGATTGATTTTATCATCTCTAAAAGGGGAAGGTTGAATTAAATAGTGGTTGTTCAAATCTAATTCTTGAACAGATGCGAGCCATGACTAAAAACTATGTATAAAGTTACCAATTATGCTTACTATGAAACTGTCCTTCCTACATTTTTGGTGTTAAAATGGCTTCTTTTATGAGATTATGTGAAAGTAACAGTAGATGGTAGCAGTTGTTGTTTAAGTTCTCCATAGCCAAAATAAAGAGCTGTAATTCTATGTAAGCAATCTATAAATTCTTTTTAGAAATTCTAGTGTCTGTATGATTTACATGAACTCTAAAATTCCTTATACTTCTAACAGCCTACATACTCACTATTCAACTAATATTTATTAGGTAACCAATATGTAAAGGTAGTCTACTTGTTGCTGGGCTACCCAAAACGTAAGATTAGTCCCTCCTCTGAAAAGCTCCCAATTTTAATAGGGAAATAGACACATATATCTCAAATACAACATAAATGGGTTAAGTCTTCTAATACAGGTTATGAATCTTATAATATATGGGAGGAAGAATGATAGGATGGATTTTGTTTTGTATTTTGGAGACTGGGTCTCGCTCTGCCTGCCAGCCTGGAGTGCAGTGGCGTGATCTCGGCTCACTGCAGCCTCAATCTGCCAGGCTCAAGCGATCCTCTCACCTCCACCTCCTGAGTAGCTGGGACTACAGGCATGTGCCATCATGACCGGCTAATTTTTGGGGGAAAGTAGAGGGTGGGGGTGGGGGTGGGTACAGATGAGGTCTCACTATGTTGCGCAGGCTGAATGAATGAGTTTTACAACTTAGTAAACTTTTAAAGTGAGTTTTGTAGTCGTAGGATGAGTTAATTATAACCTCTTTAAACCTCAAGTTTATTTGCAAAATAATAATGATTGCAGATACCACAGAATTGTGGTAAACAGATAAGATGCTATAAGAGGCCAATCCAAAAGGTGAAAATGTTCAGCTCACACACCTTCCAGGAGACAAAAAAAGAAAAAATCATTTTAATAACGACATGGTACAAGTTATTTACAAAACTGTAAATATGTGTTTGTTTAAAACACTATAAAACTCAGTAGTGCTTTTCTTCACTAGCTTCTAAGCAGCTGAAGGTCATAACTAAGTTTGCTCCACTTTATATTCCTAGCATCTAGTACAATGCCTAATAAATAGCAGGTATCAATAAAGTTTATTAGAAAAAATAACGGAATAAATTGGTAAACGGCTAATCTATTTTTACAGAAATTAAAGTTATAGTAGCTAAAAGTAAAAATTCTTAGAACTTTTATCCAAAACTAATTTTAAATGTGTATTTTGTGCCCACATCTGTCATATTGCTATCTGAATATACATGCATGTTTTAGAAGCAAAATAAATTCACCAGACAATGCAATAGTGCTGTTCCTGAATAAGAAGACAAGCAGCAATTAACTTTTTTTTTTTTTTTTTTTTTTTGAGACAGGGTCTTGATTTATTACCCAGGCTAGAGTGCAGTGGTACAATCATGCCTCACTGCAGTCTCAAACTCCTGGGCTCAAGTGATCCTCCCACCTCAGCCTCCCAAGTAGCTAGGACTACAGATGCATGCCACCATGCCCACCTAATTTTTAAAAAATTTTTTTATAAAGACAATCTCACACAGGCTGGTCTCAAACTCCTGGGCTTAAGTAATCCTCCCACCTTGGCCTCTCAAACTGCTGTTTACAGGCATACACCACCACGCCCAGCTGGGCAGCTAACATTTAATGGGGACTGATTATTTGCCAAAAGCTCTTCTAAGCACCTCCTATGGATTATCCCATTTAATCCTCAATAACTCTCATGAAATTGACTATTTTTTAAAGAGATGAGGGGTCTTGGCTGGGCACGGTGGCTCACGCTTGTAATCCCAGCACTTTGGGAGGCTGAGGCAGGCAGATCACCTAAGGTCGGGAGTTTGAAACCAGCCTGACCAACATAGAGAAACCCTATCTCTATTAAAAATACAAAATTAACTGGGCATGGTGGCACATGCCTGTAATCCCAGCTACTCGGGAGGCTGAGGCAGGAGAATGGCTTGAACCCAGGAGGTGGAGGTTGCAGTAAGCCGAGATTGCACCATTGCACTCCAGCCTGGGCAACAAGAGCGAAACTCCGTCTCAAAAGAAAAAAAAAAAAAAAAAAGAGATGGGGTGTCTTGCTCTGTTGCCTGGAGAGCCGTGATGATCATAGCTCACTGTAGCCTGAACCTCCCAAGCTCAAGTGATCCTTCTGCCTCTCAGCCTTTCAAGTAGCTGGGACTACAGACATGTGCCACCATGTCTGGCCAATTCTTCTTATTTTTTTATAAGCAGGGTCTTGTCATGTTGCCCACACTGGCTTCAAACTCCAGGCCTCAAGTGTCTTCCCACCTTGGCATTACAGTCATGAGCCACTGTGCCCTGCCAAAAGCAACTATTAAATATTCTCATAACTAGGAAAACTGAGGCACAAATAACTTCCAAGATCACAAAAATACGAAGTAGTGGGTATGGGGTTTTTAAAAGAGTAGTAAAATAAAACAGGCTGTCTGACTCCAGAGCCTATTTTTTATTTTTTATTATTTTTATTTTTATTATTTATTATTATTATTTTTTGAGACAGAGTCTTGCTCTGTCACCCAGGCTGGAGTGCAGTGGCGTGATCTCGGCTCACTGCAACCTCTGCCTCCCCTGGGTTAAAGCAATTCTCCTGCCTCAGCCTCCCAAGTAGCTGGGACTACAGGCACACACCACCACGCCCAGCTAATTTTTGTATTTTTAGTAGAGACAGGGTTTCACCATGTTGGCCAGGCTGGTCTTTAACTTCTGACCTCGTGATCCACCCGCCTCGGCCTTCCAAAGTGCTGGGATTACAGGCGTGAGCCACTGTGCCTATTTTTTAATTAAATAATTTTGTATTTAAAAATCAGATTTTACCAGAACTGGGAACATTTGCTTCTAATGATTTGATTCTTTTTCTAAAAAATAAGGCGGGGCATGGTGGCTCACGCTTGTAATCTCAGCACTTTGGGAGGTCGAGACGGGTGGATCACCTGAGGTCAGGAGTTCGAGACCAGCCTGGCCAACATGGTAAGACCTCGTCTCTACCAAAAATACAAAAATTAGCTAGGCCTAGTGGTGCGCATCTGTAGTCCCAGCTACTCAGGAGGCTGTGGCATAAGAATCGCTTGAACCCAGGAGGTGGAGGTTGCAGTGAGCAGAGATTGCGCCACTGCCCAGACCGTGCCACTGCACTCTACACTCTAGCCCGAGTGACAGAGCAAGACTCCAAGTCAAAACAAACAAAATAAAAACAAACAAACAAAACAAAGAGTTCTTTTATTATGTATGCTAAACACAGTGATACAGTTCCTGCCTTTAAAAGCCCACAAACCAATGCAGTATTATAATATTAAGCAGTCACACCTGAATTTTACTGTTTTAAATTTAATTATCTCAAATGTTTTTTCTTTTTTTTTTTTTTTTGATACAGAGTCTCACTCTGTCACCCAGGCTGGAGTGCAGTGGCACGATCTCAGCTCACTACAACCTCCACCTCTCGGGTTCAAGGGATTCTCATGCCTCAGCCTCCTGAGTAGCTGAGACTACAGGCACATGCCACCACACTCGGCTAATATTTTTGTATTTTTAGTAGAGACGGGGTTTCACCATGTTGGCCAGGCTGGTCTCAAACTCCTGACCTCAAGTGATTACCCACCTCAGCCTCCCGAAGTGCTGGGATTACAGGCGTAAGCCACCACACCCAGCCTTCATTTACTCTTAATTCCAAGTATTACAGCCTTAAGTTTTCAGAGACTATAGGAAAGGCTTATATGGTCTTAAAGGAAAAACTAGTTAAAAAGCAAGAGAAACTCATTTTGCATGGCCATCTACTTTCAGATAATGTTGCAGGGGTGTTTGTTTTGAGACAGGGTCTCACTCTGTCGCTCTGGCTGGAATGCAGTGGTGTGATCATGGCTCACTGCAACCTCCGCTTCCTGGCTCAAGCAATTCTCTAGCCTCGGCCACCTGAGTAGCTGGGACTACAGGTGCAAGCCAGCAACACCCAGCTAATTTTTCATAGAGATGGGGTTTCACCATGATGCCCAGGCTAGTCTTGAACTCCTGAGCTCAAAGCGATCTGCCCTTCTCAGCCTCCCAATTTGCTGGGATTATAGGCATGAACCATCGTGCCTGGCCCCCAGATAATGACCGGTTTTTCTGGGGGCGGGTGCGGGGGGGGCGGGTTTTGAGACTGAGTCTCGCTCTGTTGCCCAGGCTGGAGTGCAGTAGCGTGATCTCAGCTCACTGCAAGCTCCGCCTCCCGGGTTCACGCTATTCTCCTGCCTCAGCCTCCCGAGTAGCTGGGACTACAGGCGCCCACCACCACGCCCAGCTAATTTTTTTGTATTTTTAGTAGAGACAGGGTTTCACCGTGTTAGACAGGATGGTCTCGATCTGCTGACCTTGTGATCTGCCTGCCTCGGCCTCCCAAAGTGCTGGGATACAGGTGCGCTACCACGCCCAGCTGATAATGATGTTTTAAAAATACACACAAAACACAGAATAAGAACAGCTGAATTTCATTACCAATAGATGCTCTAACAAACCAACTTCAAATGTAATTTGCAAAATGCTATTTTTAGCCAACAATGTGTTTCACTTCATTTCGTCATTGGTCTGATTCTTTAACAGACTGTAGTGCTTGCTTCTCATGTTCTGCTTTCAGTTTTAACAACTGTGTTAAAAGGAGAGCTAAATACCAACAAAACACAGAGGAATAACAATAGGTCTTGTAAAGGCTTTTCAGATATGCAAGAAACAACATTGTTACTAGTGAAAACACCTTACATGTTATTTGACCAAAATGAACAATGATATAACCAAAATGAACAATGACATAGCCAAAATAACTAAAGTAACACTTCACATTTTTCTATGATTACACTCCACATCTTTCTGCCTCCATACCAGCACGATAAACTATTTCTCCTTACTGTCTTGCAACTATTTTTTCTTTTCTTTTTTTTTTTTTTTTGAGATGGCCTTGGCTTACTGCAACCTCCGCCTCCCAGCTTCCAGCAATTCTCCTGCCTCAGCCTCCCAAGCAGCTGGGATTACAGGCATGAGCCACCACGCTCAGCTAATTTTTGTATTTTTAGTAGAGATGAGGTTTCACTATGTTGGCCAGGCTGGTCTCGAACTCCCTGCCTCAAGTGATCTGCCCTCCTCAGCCTCCCAAAGTGCTGGGATTACAGGTGTGAGCCACCACGTCCGGCCTCTTGTAACTATTTTCAAGAAAACCAATATTCCAACGATGCTAGTCAAGAAGCCATGATAAATGGATGTTAGTAGTAATTATGCAATACTTTAGAATTAGAGCAGGCTATGTTTTATAATAAAGAGGAAATATGAAAACAGATTATTTCTAAAACAGTACTACAAAAGAAAGAAAAAAAATCTAGATTTCTATAAACAATTGGAAATGCTGGCACTTCACAGTGAATTCACAGAACTCAACTAAAGGCTGTTGGTTCAAAGATTTGGCTTGCCAAATTTTCCCCTATAGATAAACATTTAATATCCACTGTGACATTTTATGCCACTTCCTAGATTAAAAGTCTTTTGTAAATTCCATGAAGATAAATGAACACCCAGATTGTTTACATCCAGGTATCTGCCACTAGAGGAACAGATCAGAGAAGAGCAACTTAAGCACAACATACAAGCTTTATTGAGACCTGCAAAACAACGAAATTTGACACATTCTCCATACAAAATATGCTTAAGGGAAAAAATTATGTTAGTTGGAAAAACCACAGTAAATACTCTTACTTTTTCTTTTCTTTTTTTTTTTTTTTACTAGAATCACTATGCCAGTTAGAATAAGTTTAAAGGTTGTGGGGGCGCACTCCTATTCACTACTAGCAGGGCTTTATCCAACAATGGCATATCAGTATAAAAGCTCTTTAGAAAATAATCACATTTCAAAATTATGCCCATCCTTTGACCCAATAGTTACACTTCTAGAAAATGTATCCAAAATAAATAAGTGTGCAAATATGTATGTATAGGCTGAGGGCAGTGACTCAGACTGTAATCCCATCACTTTGGGAGGCCAAGGAGGGAGGATCACATGAGGCCAGGAGTACTAGACCAGCTTGGCCAATGTGGCAAAAGCCCTTATCTACTAAAAATACAAAAATTAGCCAGGTGTGGTGGCACATGCCTGTAAATCCCAGCTACTTGGGGGGCTGAGGCATGAGAATCACTTGAACCTGGGAGGCAGAGGTTGCAGTTAATACAGACAGCAGGCAGGGAAATACAGGGTAGAAGAGGGCAGTTCTCCAGCAAAGGCCGGCCCTAAATGGGAACAAGCATTCCTGTTTTTGTGCCTAAATGTTGCCTTTGGGCCCACCACGCCCCCTTATCCTGTACCCATTGAAACCCCAACCCCCAGGCTCCACAAGCAGAAGAGCAGAACAGAAGAGCAGCAGAATGGCATGGCAGAGGAGAAGAGAAGGAGCATCTGAACATTGAGAGGAGTTTGGCTGGGGATGGCTGGAGAGGAGATCGGTCACAGGATGGCCGAATTCCAGGCGACGATCATCTTCCCACTCCATCCCCTTTCCAGCTTCCCCATCATCCTGCTGAGAGCCACTTCCATCACTCAATAAAACCTCTGCATTCACCACCCTCAAGTCCATGTGTGACCTTATCCTTCCTGGATGCCAGACAAGGACTCAGGTAACAAGAGGGCAGAGTGTAAAAGGCTTCACTCTGACTTACACACTTAGCCATCTGTAGATGGCAACTGCTAAAAGAGCATTAATTGTAACACACTCCTAGACGCTACCATGGGGCTGGAGCCCAAAAGCACTCTCCCTGGCTCCTGCACCTGCCTGTCTGCATGTTCCCCCTCCTGTAAGGGGTTTGAGTGAGGGGCAACTGAGCCATACCGCTATCACAAGTCCCAGAAGGGGGTCAGGAAACTCTCCTGTTTCACTGTGAGCCAAGGTCGAGCCACTGCACTCCAGCCTGGGTGACAAAGTGAGACCCTCTCTCAAAAAAAAAAAAAGGTATGTATTGATTAAAAATACATCTATAATGTAAAAAAACAAAATCAGTAAAGCATATGGTGGTTACTCAAATTAAACATAGAATCACTATATATTCTAGCAATTCCATTTCTAGGTATATACCCAAAATAACTGAAAGTAGAGACTCAAACAGATATTTGTACACCAATATTCAAGGCAACATCATTCACAGTAGCCAAAAGATGAAAACAACCTAAGTGTCCACCGATGGATGAATGGCTAAACAAAATGTAGTCTAGGCCGGGAGCCATGGCTCATGCCTGTAATCCCAGAACTTTGGGAGGATGAGGTAGGTAGATCACAAGGTCAGGAGTTCGAGACCAGCCTGACCAACATGGTGAAACCCCATCTCTACTAAAAGTACAAAAATTAGCCGGGCATGGTGGCATGCGCCTGTAATCCCAGCTACTCAGGAGGCTGAGGCAGGAGAATCACTTGAACCCAGGAGGCGGAGGTCACAGTGAGCTGAGATCATGCCACTGTACTCCAGCCTGGGTGACAGGGCAAGACTCTGTCTCAAAAAAAAAAAATGTAGTCTATACATAAAATGGAATATTCAGCCTTTAAAAATAATGAAATTCTGACACTTGCTGCCACAAAGATGAACCTTGAAAATTGTGCTAAGTGAAATAAGCCAGACACAAAAAATAAACAAATATTGTATGATTCCATGTATATAAGATAACCAGAATAGTCAAAATCATAGAGACAAAAAGGAGAATGGTGGTTTTGTGGACTGGAGAGGAGTGGGGTATAGGAAATTGTTGTTTAATGGGCCCGTGCCCATTTCAGTTTGTAAAATAGAAAAGTTCTGGGATGTACAGTGGTGATGGTTGCACAATAATGTCAACATACTGAATGCCACTGAACTGTACATTTAGAAACAGTTAAAACAGTAAATTTGGCCAGGCATGGTGGCTCACACCTGTAATCCCAGCGCTTTGGGAGGCACAGGCAGGTAGATCATCTGAGGTCAGGAGTTCAAGACCAGCCTGACCAACATGGAGAAACCCCGTCTCTACTAAAAACACAAAATTAGCCAGGCATGGTGGCACATGCCTGTAATCCCAGCTACTCAGGAGGCTGAGACAAGAGAATCGCTTGAACCCGGGAGGCGGAGGTTGCAGTGAGCCGAAACTGCGCCACTGCACTCCAGCCTGGACAACAAGAGCAAAACTCTGTCTCGAAAAAAAAAAAGTAACTTTTATGTATATTTTACCACATAAGGAAAAAAAAAGCAAAGCAAACCATATCACAACTTCTAGACTGGAATGAACACTGTGTTTATTATTTTTGAGTCCTATGGTGACTCTTCTTCCTTTGCTTTCTCATTATTCAGCACCCCTATACAAGTCATCAAGAATAGGACCAAAGAGTCACCCTTATAGTTCAAAGCATAATTACAGAAGTTATAATTTGTATCCACATTCTAATAATTAAACCCTGAATCAAAGTTAAAACTTGGAGCTTCTTTGCATAAATTTTTGATGACATAAGATTAAAGTTAAGTATGTTCATAATGTCAGGTTTATAAAAAAAAGAAAAACAAATAAAAAATAAATTCCTACGTAAATTATCTTCTCTTTGGCAAAAATTTCAAACTATCTAGTAGAAGGAGGAAAAGGAATGAAAATCTCAAGAGGGCTGGGCGCGGTGGCTCACGCCTGTAATCCCAGCACTTTGGGAGGCCGAGGCGGGCGGATCACAAGATCAGGAGATTGAGACAATCCTGGCTAACACGGTGAAACCCGGTCTCTACTAAAAATACAAAAAACTAGCTGGGTGTGGTGGCGGGCGCCTGTAGTCCCAGCTACTAGGAGGCTGAGGCAGGAGAATGGCATGAACCCGGGAGGCGGAGCTTGCAGTGAGCTGAGATTGCGCCACTGCACTCCAGCCTGGGCGACAGAGCGAGACTCCATCACAAAATAAATAAATAAATAAATGAATAAATAAGGAAAACCTCAAGAGATATAACTGAATACTCATATTAGAAAGTCCCCAGAAAACTGAAGAATAAACTATTGAAATTTGAGCCTTAATGAATATGCAGTTTATGGTCAAAATAAGTAAAACGGGGAGCTAAGTCTGACATCAAAGTAAACAGAAAGTCCCACCCAAGAACAGAAAGTCCCACCCAATCCCATCCTGCCCCTTAACATCCTCAGACAATGGTGGGAAACTCTGGCATAACCCAAAATATGTAGTTAGGGCACACGTACAGAATTCACTCCATCAAGGAATGGGAGTACTTAAGGGATGAATCCAAACTTAGTCCAAGCTGAAACTTAATTTTTTTTGAGAAAGAGTCTTGCCCTGTCGCCCAGAATGGAGTGCAGTAGTGCCATCTTGGCTCATTGCAACCTCTGCCTCCCAGGTTCAAATGATTCTCCTGCCCCAGCCTACCAAGTAGCTGGGACTACAGGCACATGCCACCATGCCCAGCTAACTTTTGTACCTTTAGTAGAGATGGGGTTTCGCCATGTTGGCCAAGCTGGTCTTCCTGACCTCAGGTGATCCACCCGCCTTGGCCTCCCAAAGTGCTGGGATTACAGGTGTGAGCCACGGCACCCAGCCCTAGCTGAAACCTTATTGCACTCAAGACCCAGATGTTTCCAGGTATGAGAGCAGTGTTCCTGCTTAGCCAGGCACTCACTGCAAGACACGTTGTCGTCTGACACAATCTATAAGCAAAGGAAAGCCAGGTCAACAGACTCACACTCCAAAGGAAACCAAGACAGCTGTCTTCAACTGTGAAAATGAACTGGGAAATCATTTATATGGTCACAATCAGCACTTAGAGAAAAACACACTGGAAAAGATAAGTGTATCACATGTATAAGGGTGACTATTGATTCACATTTTTTTTTCAACTGTCTGTGTGTGCATGTGTGTGTATAGGTGTGTGTAGGTGGGGAAATTACCACCAAAAATGTTTTAAAAATTCATTGTTAGGCCAGGCACAGTGGCTCACACCTGTAATCCCAGCACTTTGGGATGCCAACGCACGCGGATTGCTTGAGTCCAGAAGTTTGAGACTAGCTTGCTTGACGTGGCAAAACCTTGTCTCTACGAAATATACAAAAATCAGCCAGGTGTCATGGCACACGTCTGTAATCCTGGCTACTTGGGAGGCTGAGACATGAGAATTGCTTGAATCTGGGAGGTAGAGGTTGCAGTGAGCTGAGATCGCACCATATTATTATGGAAATAGACACTTGCACCTATACACAGAATCACCATGAATATGGCTGCACTCCAGCCCGAGCAACAGAGCCAGACCCTGTCTCAAGAAAAAACACAATAAAATAAAATTCATTATTGTAGAGAAATTTTGTATTAACATGTGTACCTGAAGACATAAGCAAGAATATTTTTGTAAGAGCAACAAAATGCGGAAAAAAAATCTATCTTTAGAAAAAAGACAAATTGTGGCATAGTCATAAAATTAATACAAGTATCTGAGAAATGCACAACAGTGCACAAACCTGAAATAAATTGCAAATAGGTAACCTATCTGTTCTCAGTTTCTGAAAATTAATATGCTGCCTAAAGTAATACAAGAGAAAGAAAAGGAAAGTTTTTTTTTGGTGTTTTTGTTTGTTTGTTTGTTTGTTTTGAGACAGAGCCTTGCTCTGTCACCCAGGCTGGAGTGCAGTGGTGCAATCTCGGCCCACTGCAACCTCCACCTCCCGGACTCAAGCGATTCTCCTGCCTCAGCCTCCCGAGTATCTGGGATTACAGGCATGCACCACTGCGCCCAGCTAATTTTTGTATTTTTAGTAGAGACGGGGTTTCACCATGTTGCCCAGGCTGGTCTTGAAGCCTCAGGTGGTCCACCTGCCTCAGCCTCCCAAAGTGCTGAAATTACAAGCAAGAGCCACTGTGCCTCACCAGAAAAGTAATTTTTAATAAAATATTTTAATATGCAAATGCTCAGGTATAATCATCCTAAAATTCATATTATTACGGAAATAGACACTTGCACCTATACACAGAATCACCATGAATATGACAGCTACAAATGTAGATTGAGACAAATAAGCTGAATAGGAAAATCAAATACCATAAGGGGCAATGCCATTAGTAATAGGATTTTCTAAAACAGTGAACAACTCTTGGTAAAGTTCTGAACAAAACAAAGTACAATTTGCCCCAGGTTAATACTCAGTAGTTACATTCCTGGAAAATTCGGTGTCTATTAAAACTATGTTTAAAAAAAACAAACACTTTGTGTCTAAATGTAAAACAGAATTAGAATAACCTAAGTATAGGCCGGGTACCGTGGCTCACACCTGTAATCCCAGCACTTTGGGAGGCCGAGGTGGGTGGATCATTTCAGGTCAGGAGTTTGAGCCCAGCCTGGCCAACATCGTGAAACCCCGTCTCTACTAAAAATACAAAAAATTAGCCCGGTGTAGTGATGGGTGACCGTAGTCAATCCCAGCTACTCAGGAGGCTGAGGCAAGAGAATCGCTTGAATCTGGGAGGTGGAGGTTGCAGTGAGCCAAGATTGCACCACTACACCCCAGCCTGGACGACAGAGCGAGACTTCGTCAAAAAAAAAAAAAGATAAGCATAAACAGGTTTTTCACCTACAATGTCTGGGGAAATAAAGTTATGCGGAACTGTCTCATACCTTGTGGGATGTCAGGCACTCCTGGCTCCTGTTCATTGAATGTCAAAACTGGACTCATCCTCCTCTAATCATTGTGGCAACCAAAAGTGCATCCTCAAAGATCCAAACACGTCATAGTAGCAGTACTATCCTTGTGGAGAACCAGAGCCTTTAAGCAATGATAGAGCTCAATATGGCCTCCAAATTGCCCTTGTTTTCATGACACCATGAGTTGAATAGGATAAAAAGCCTAACCAATTTCTAACTCTGGTAAAGAAGGTCTATTTGTTTGTGTTACTATAAAGGAAACTGAAACTAGGAAATTTATAAAGAAAAGAGGTTTAACTGGCTCATGGTTCTGCAGGATATACAAGCATGGCACCAACATTTGCTTGGCTTCTAGTGAGGGCCTCGGGAAGCTTACAATCATAGTGGAAGGCCAAGTGGGAGGAGGCAGATCACATGGTGAGATCAGGGGAAAGGGGGTGGGGACGTGCCACACTCTTCCAAACAACCACATCTCACGTAAACTCACTGAGCAAGACTCATTTATCACCAAGGAGATAATGGTAAATCATTCATGAGGGATCTGCTCCCAGGATTCAATCACCCCCCTGGCCCCACCTCCAACCTGGGAATCACATTTCAACGTCAGATGTGGAAGGGACAAACAACCAAACCATATCAGGAGGAAGAGATCCTGTCTCAAAAAAAAAAAAAAAAACTGTTATATTCCCAGATGTTATAGTTTACACAAAGTGTTTTTGTTTAAATTTAATCCTTATAACTGACAGATATCATAAGACAGATGTCATTATTCTTTTCATATTACTTATAAGGTGAACAATCTCAAAAAGGTCAGTCACAAAGCTGGTGACAGAGACAAGATTTCAAGCCCTCTGATTTCAAATCCTGTGTTCCTTCCACCAAACTAAACTGCTTTACAAATATCCAGTATGGCAATACAGATAAAAAGGAGTATTTATGGCACAAGATCAATATAAAGACTCTTGATTGGCCGGGTGCGGTGGCTCACTACTGTAATCCCAGCACTTTGGGAGGTCAAGGTGGGTGGATCACCTGAGATCAGGAGTTCACGACCAGCCTGGCCAACATGATGAAACCCTGTCTCTACTGAAAAAAAAAAAAAAAACAAGCTGGGCACAGTGGCTCACGCCTGTAATTCCAGCACTTTGGGAGACCGAGGCAGGCGGATCACCTGAGGTCAGGAGTTGTAGACCAGCCTGGCACCAACATGGCAAAAGCCCATCTCTACTAAAAAATACAAAAATCAGCTGGGCGTGGTGGCTGGTGCCTGTAATCCCAGCTCTTGGGAGGCTGAGGCAGGAGAACGGCTTGAACCCAGGAGGTGGAGGTTGCAGTGAGCCAAAATCACGCCACTGCACTCCAGCCTGAGCATCAGAGCAAGATTCTGTCTCAAAAAAGAAAAAAAAAAAAATTAGCCAGGCATGGTGGCACACGCCTGTAATCCAAGCTACTTGGGAGGCTAAGGCAGGAGAATGGCTTGAATCCAGGAGGCAGAGGTTGTAGTGAGCAGAGATTGTGCCACTGCACTCCAGCCTGGGCGTCAGAGCAAGATTCTGTCTCAAAAAAATTAGCCAGGCATGGTGGTGCATGCCTGTAATTCCAGCTACTTGGGAGGGTGAGGCAGGAGAATCGCTTGAACCCGGGAGGCGGAGGTTGCAGTGAGCTGAGATTGCGCCATTGGACTCCAGCATGGGTGACAGAGTGAGACCCTGTCTCCAAAAAAAAAAAAAAAAAAAAAAGACTCTTGATCTATTTTGATACATGACAGAATGACAGACGGTTGTATTAATACTTGTACTGTTTGTACTGTAGGCTGGTACAAAAGTAATCATGGTTTTTGCCATTAAAAGTAATTGCAAAAACCACAATTACTCTCTCTCTATATATAGAATCTCACTCATTTCTGAATATGAGAAATTTTTAAATATTGGCAGTCTTGTCCTAGATTGAAAAATAAAAAAGAAGAAACATTTAAAAAGAAAGACATAAAATTTTAGGAGCAACTATGACAAGCAGTGTTTAATTTCTTCCTAATACCTGAAAGGTTCTGGGTCAGAATCCTAATATGTCTTCTACTTAATCAAAGATTTCCAAATCCCATCATTGATTCTGACAACGAATTAACATAATTTTTTTAAAAACCTTTGCATTTGGGGACAAATGTATAACCATTAAGAACTTTATAAAATCTTGCCGTAACTAAAGTGCTTCTAATGAAGTCACTATCAATCCTCTCAGTGCCATGATTCTTTCTTGATAAAACACTCTCATGGTTCCAAACACCTATATGCACACAGTAGTTTATAACATAAGACAAAAATAAAAACAAAGGCATACTCAGGGCTTGATGTAAGAGGAAAAAAGGAAGTGGCATGTCGTATTATTTCAGCTGAAGAAACAAGGAAGTAGGATCATTTACCAACAAGCATAATCTTCATGAGCACGTCTCTAAAGGGCAGAATGATATACTCAGGTTTTCCTAAAAAAGAATAGCAGACAATGGTCTACAACACTCATCTCTCCACTAATTCAAACCCCAAATCCAAGAAGAAAAACTAATTTAACTGACCGTTCTGATTTATAAAGAAAAAATAATAATGCATGCTTCTGGATTCATGGTTCAAGTTTACATGACTAGAATGACGGCTTTAGGAGTTGCAATATGCAAACATATAAGTCATAACCTAAACACAGAGGCTGGAAGTTTGTCCTATAATATTTTATCCCTCCTTTTTGTTCTTCTTTCTCCTAAAAGATCTTTACCTCAGTCAGAACTATGGTTGTCTAAGCCAACATCTCTACCCCAAGCACCACTTTATTTTCTCCCTCATACACATTGTTACACCCCTTTTTCCTGACTTAAAATTCACTCCTTGCCAACTTCTATGGTGTCTCTATGACATCTACACAGGTTAAACTGACTTCTTTGATTCACAGCTAATAGAAAGTACATGCAATAGAGCTTAAAGGAGTATCAATTACATGAATATTTCTGGAAAGCAACTGTAAATACAAAGAATAAAGCACTCTGTTACATTGAAAAAAATTGCAGTTCATCATGAAAAACCTTCAGTTCAAGGTACCTAGGATATAGATTAAGATTAAATTTAATATAATTTTTAAACTTTGTTTAACAAATAGAAATAGGGGTCTCGCTATGTTGCCCAGGCTGGTTTTGAACTCCTGGCCTCAAGCAATCCTCCTGCCTCAGCCTCCCAAAGTGTTGAGATTACAAATGTGAGCCACTGCACCTGGCCTAAAATTAAATTTAAATGTCTCACCCAAGTGCCTCAAAACGTGCCGTAATTCCCAAACAGATTTACAGATATTCTGAATATTGACTGACAAGTATTTAGGGGTTACTATATAACTGTCTAAATACCAACAAGGAATTATAGGACTCACTTGAAAATATAATAACTACTATATATAGAGCACCTACTATATTCAAGGCACTGTTCTAAGAATTTACATATAAATGTGTATAAGTGTGTATAATCTCATTTCATCAGCACAAAGAAACACTAAGAGATAGGGGCTATAATTCTAATTTTATTTAATTTTTTTTTTTTTTTTTGAGACAGAGTCTCACTCTGTCACCCAGGCTGGAGTGCAGTGGTGCAATCTTGGCTCACTGCAACCTCCGCCTCCCAGGTTCAAGCAATTCTCCTGCCTCAGTCTCCGGAATAGGTGGGACTACAGGTACGTGCCACCAAGCCCAGCTAATTTTTTGTATTTTTAGTAGATACAATGTTTCAACATGTTCTCCAGTCTAGTCTCAAACTCTTGATCTCAGGTGATCCACCCACCTTGGCCTCCAAAAGTGCTGGGATTACAGACATGAGCCACCGTGCCCAGCCTCTAATTTTAAAGATGAGAAAATGTGGCTTTGAAAGAAGGCAAGATTTGAAATCTTGGCTTCAGGCCAAGATGGTACAGTAAATTCACCCAAATAACTATATATAAGTGTATCAAATATATAAATAAATAATGCATAGCTGGCTCAAAAAATAATGTAAATACCTTCCAGGCATTGATAAGTAATACAAATGCAAAGTGGTAAGGCCTCTGAAGCCAGAGGCCTACTGGGCTCCTGGTTCAGAAGCAGGCAGTGGCTGGGAGTCTGGCTTCCTTGGGGAACAGGCAAGAAAAATGTTCCATGTAAGACAGAACCTGGCCTGGCACAGGGGCTCACACTTGTAATCTCAGCAATTTGGGAGGCCAAGGCAGGAGGATCACTTGAGCCCAGGAGTTTGAGACCAGCTTGGGCAACACATAGAGGATCCATCTCTACAAAAAATTTAAAAATTAGCCAGGGCCGGGCGCGGTGGCTCAGACTGTAAACCCAGCACTTTGGGAGGCTGAGGCGGGCAGATAACCTGAGGTCAGAAGTTCGAGAACTGCCTGACTAATATGGTGAAACCCTGTCTCCACTAAAAATACAAAAACTAGCCAGGCGTGGTGGCGGGCACCTGTAGTCCCAGCTACTCAGGAGGCTGAGACAGGAGAATTGCTTGAACCTGGGAGGCGGAGGTTGCAGTGAGCCAAGATGGTGCCACTGCACTCCAGCCTGGGGGACAGAGCGAGACTCCATCTCAAAACAACAACAAAAAAATTAGCCAGGCATGGTGGCACATGCCTATAAGTCCCAGCTACTTAGGAGGCTGAGATGGAGGATCACTTGAGTCTGGGAGGTCCGGGCTGCAGTGAGTCATGACTGTACCACTGTACCGCAGTCCAGTCTGGGCAACAGAATGAGACTCTTACATTTAAAAAAATAAAAAATAAAAAAGACAAGACAGAGTCTGCCAGAGCTAGGGTGGGGGTAGAGTTCCCTTATTTATAAAGAAGGCTGAAAGCAACTGGCCAACTCTGCCTGGAGCTATTGCTTACAGGAAATAACTCTTAAGTTGCATGACCCAGACACAGCTTCAAAAACAAGAAAGAGGCCTGGTGCGGTGGCTCACGCCTGTAATCTCAGCACTTTGGGAGGCAGAGGCAGACGGATCACCTGAGGTCAGAGACCAGCCTGGCCAACATGGTGAAATTTTGTAAAAATACAAAAATTAGCCGGGCATGGTCGCACACGCCTGTAATCCCTGCTACTCAGGAGGCTGAGGCAGAAGAATCGCTTGAACCTCGGAGGCAGAGGTTGCAGTGAGCCAAGATCGCGTCACCGTACTCCAGCTTGGGCAACAGAGTGAGACTCTGTCTAGAAAAAAACAAAACAAAACAAGAAAGAGACCAAGCCACCTGCTAGTTCTGTGACTGGATCTGCAATATCCACAATATCAACAGTATCTCTAAGGAGCAGGAACTCTAAACTTTGTTCTAGAATTGGGGTCTAGAGGCAATCAAAACTACTGTACAAGAAAGAGAAAACACAAGACGGACAGTGAAAGCCAGTTCTCAAGTATAGAAGACAACTAAAGCTGCTGTTATGTCTTGAATAACATTCCAATCTCCATTTCCTGAATATGTATCTATTAAGACTGCTTCTGGTGCTCTCTCACATCCCTCGGTATTTATAAGATAAACTCTTAAGCAGTTAAGGTAACCAGAAAGAACCTAACACGCTTAAACCTTTTCTACTTTCCCAACAAACCAACAATCATGATCATCTGAAAATATTATTTTTTAATGCGATAAAGTTACAAAAACCTATTCCTAACTGACAGCCCTTGAAAAGTACAAAAATAAGCAACTAGATTTACCAGTTAAAGAAAAGTGTCTTTATAACTAACTTTGTTGAGTGGGCCTAAGCAAACTTTAAGTGTTATGGAATCTCTCATATTTAGCCTTCCTATTATCAACCAGACACAGGACTTTCCTACCACTAGGAAGGGAGTGGTTTCCAGTTTTAAGATGATACAATTGAAAAGTTTTGAAAAGGAATTAAAAATAGTCTCAAGAGAATAACTTGAAATAAAAACTGTGTTTTAATAAAATATGAGTCAAATTAGTAATCCATCACTTAAATCCTAGATCTGTGTCTGCTACTACCTAGCTGTGGGACTTTAGCTAACCTACCTACCTAGGCTTTGGGTCCTTTATCTGTTTAAAAAAAGAACACTTTATGAGGTCTCTTGGGCTCTTCTAATTCTGACATCATAAAATTCTATTAAATGTATGACAGGAATGTTTGCTAAGTGTAAACATATTCAGCATTTACACAGTGTTTTCAACACCTTCAAAACTCTACCAGTGAGGTCCACCACCTTCTCTCCTCCCAAAGTCACATAAGCAGAATCTAAAAAAACATGGCTAGGCACAGCGCCTCGTGTCTGTAATCCCAGCGCTTTAGAAGGCAGACGTCAGGGGATCTCTTGAAGCCAGGAGTTCAACCAGCCTGGGCAACATACCAAGACTTTGCCTCTAAAAAAAATTAAAAATTAGCCAGGTATGGTGGTGCATGCCTGAGTCCCAGCTACTCAGGAGCCTGCGGCAGGAGTTCAAGCTCAGGAGTTCAAGGCTTGAGCTTGAGCTCAGGAGTTCAAGGCTGCAGTGAGCTATGATCACACCACTGCACTCCAGCCTGGGAGACAAAGTGAGACCCTGTCTCTACAACATGAAAATAAAAACAAAATAAAACATTTTCTGAGATATTTCCAAAATAATTTTTAATATGGTAATATATGCTAGAACTTTAATTGGAGAGGTGTAATTTATATATACTCTCCTGAGTTTGAAAAAACACATAACTATGTAACCACCACCACAATCAAGATATAGAACAGATATAAAAGATACACAGAACACCCAAAAAAATTCCCTCATGCCCTCAGTAGTCAAACTCTCTTCCAATCCCTCGCAACCACTGGTCAATTTTCTTTCCCTAGGGGCCGGGCACAGTGGCTCACGCCTGTAATCCCAGCACTTTGGGAGGCCGAGGCGGGCGGATCGCGAGGTCAGGAGATCGAGACCATCCTGGCTAACATGGTGAAACCCCATCTCTACTCAAAATACAAAAAAATTAGCCGGGCGTGGTGGCGAGCACCTGAAGTCCCAGCTACTCGGGAGGCTGAGGCAGGAGAATGCCGTGAACCCAGGAGGCGGAGTCTGCAGTGAGCAGAGATCACGCCACTGCACTCCAGCCTGGGTGACAGAGCGAGACTCCATCTCAAAATAAATAAATAAATTTTCTTTCCCTATAGTTTTGCCTGTTCCAAAATACCACAAAAATGAAATCACACAGTATGTGGCCTTTTAAGTCTGACTTCCTTCATTTAGCATAATGCATTTGATATTGTACAATGTTAGTGAATGCACTGCCAAATCATATGCCATTGTATAGATGTGCCATCCTTTATCAATTTACCAGTTGAAGTGCATGTGCATTATTCCCAGTTTTTGGCAATTACGAGTTTGGTGCAAAAGTAGTTGTGTTTTTTGCCATTAAAATGGCATTAAAGCTGTGTGGCTGTAGCTCACACCTGTAATCCCAGCACTTTGGGAGGCTGAGGCAGGCAGATCACTTGAGGCCAGGAGTTTCAGACCAGCCTGGCCAACATGGTGAAACCCCGTCTCTACTAAAAATACAAAAATTAGCTGGATGTGGTGGCACATGCCTGTAATCCCAGCTATTCAAGAGGCTGAGGCAAGAGAATTGCTTGAAAACCTGGGAGGCAGAGGTTGTAATGAGCCGAGATCGCACCACTGCACTCCAGCCTGGGCCATAAAGTGAGACTCTGTCTCAAAAAAAAAAAAAGGCATTAAAATGGCAAAAACCGCAATTACTTTTGCATCAACCTATACTGCATTTACATACAGGTTTTTGTGTGACTGTGTTTTCATTTTACTTGAATAAATACCCAGGAGTGAAACTGTGGACCATTCTGGTAAATGTACATTTAATTATATATTTTATATGTTTTAAATTTACATTAATAAATATTTTATATATTTTAAATATATATTTTGCATCAACCTATACTGCATTTGCATATAGGTTTTTGTGTGACTGTGTTTTCATTTTACTTGAATAAATACCCGGGAGTGAAACAGTGGACCATTCTGGTAAGTGTACATTTAATTATATATGACAACCTGCCAAATTGTTTTCCAAAGAGGCTATACCAACAATGAATAAGGGTTTTGGGGCCAGGGGCAGTAGCTCACACCTGTAATCCCAGCACTTTGGGAGGCCGAGGCAGGAAGATGGCTTGAGCCCAGGAGTTCCGAGACCAGCCTGGGTAACACAGTGAGATGCCATTTCTATAAAAAAGGTTTTTTTAATTAGCCGGGTGTGGTGGTACATGCCTGCAGTCCCAGCCACACAGGAGGCTGAGGTGGAAGGATCACTTGAGCCTAGGGGGTCGAGGCTGCAGTGAGCCATGATTATGCCACTGCACTCTAGTCTGGGTGACAAGGTAAGAGACTCCGTCTCAAAACAAACAAAAAAAAGTTTTTGGGCCAGGCGTGGTGGCTCAAGCCTGTAATGCCAGCACTTTGGGAGTCCGAGGCGGGCAGATCACGAGGTCAGGAGATCGAGACCATTCTGGCTAACACGGTGAAACCCCGTCTCTACTAGAAAAAAATACAAAAAATTAGCTGGGTGTGGTGGCGGGCGCCTGTAGTCCCAGCTACTGGGAAGGCTGAGGCAGGAGAATGGTGTGAACCAGGGAGGCGGAGCTTGCAGTGAGCCGAGATTGCGCCACTGCACTCCAGCCTGGGTGACGGAGCCAGACTCCATCTCAAAAAAAAAAAAGTTTTTGAATTTTGTTCTTTGAGACAGAATCTCAGTCTGTCACCTAAGCTGGAGTACAGTAGCGCAATCTTGGCTCACTGCAACCTCTGCCTCCAGGCTCAAGCAACCCTCCCACATCAGCCTCCAAATCACTGGGATTATAGGAGTGCACCACCACATCCAGCTAATTTTTGTATTTTTAGTAGAGATGGGGTTTCACCATGTTGGTCAGGCTGGTCTCGAGCTCCTGACCTCGTGATCCACCCGCCTTGGCCTTCCAAAGTGATGGGATTACAGGCATGAGCCACCGCACTTGGCTTTTCTTTTTTTTTTTTTTTGAGACAGAGTCTCACTCTGTCACACAGGTTGGAGGGCACTGGCGCGATCTCGGCTCACTGCAACCTCTGCCTCCCGCATTCAAGCAACTCTCGTGCTTTGGCCTCCCTAGTAGCTGGGATTACAGGCATGTGCCACCATACCTGACTAATTTTTGTATTTTTAGTAGAGACAGGGTTTTGCCACATTGGCCATGTTGGCATGGTGGCTCATGCCTGTAATCCCAGCACTTTGGGAGGCCGAGGAAGGTGGATCACTTGAGGTCAGGAGTTCGAGATCAGCCTGGCCAACATGGTGAAACCCTGTCTCTACTAAAAAAATACAAAAATTAGGCGGGCATGGTGGCATGTGCATGTAATCCCAGCTACTCGGGAGGCTGAGGCAGGAGAATTACTTGAACCCAGGAGGCAGAGGTTGCAGTGAGCTGAGATCACGCCACTGCACTCCAGCCTGAGCAACAGAGCAAGACTCCGTCTCAAAAAAAGAAAAGAAAGAAAATTTCATCAATTTCATGTGGAATTTATCATGACTTTTAAGGCAGTTTTAAACTACCTGTCTAAACAAAAATATTAAATATACTTACTCTTTCTAAAATCTTTACCCAAAGGGAGTAAGAAATAAGGGGAAGGGGCAGAGAGTGGTAGACTCCAAAATATTCAGTACTACACCCTGCCCAAATTCCAAAGTAATTTAATTAAACACTTTCCAAAAAAAAAATTCAGGTATTTTAGCAGCACTCTCAAAAGTCCAGGCATAATTTTACTAATAATTAACTTGTAACACTTTGTTATTCATAAGCCCTTATAGAGTATAACTTTTAATTCTATTCATTCAATAAGAATGTACTGATTACCAATCAAATCTCCAAAGAGTATAAGCAGTACGATAGTACTATATACAAAAATCACAGAATTTTAAAGGTTAGGAGAGATTTGAAAGAATAATCAAGATAATTTTACAGAGTAACAAAGTTTGGGGAGGATGAGGCTTCACCACACTAGATATCCACACTTATTATAAAGCTACGGTAAATAAGACAGTGTAATATTGACATAGGGATAGGCAAATAACACAAGAACAGGCTCACATGTATATAGAGATAAGATACATGACTTAAGATCCTCATTGAAATGAGAGGAATGAATGCTACTCAATAAATAGTGTTGGTCCTATTTATTTTGTATATTTAAAAAATAACGTACTCATTATTCACTATAATTTTTAGAATATTTCAGCATTAAAAAAACTTTAAAGATCATCCAGTCAAACACTATCACTTTATAAAAAGAGAAACAAAGACCCAGAGAAGACATTTAGCCAAATCATACGGGCAGGATAAGAATTAAACTCACATATCATGTTTATTAACATTCAATACATATATAAAGAGCTTCTCATTCACTCCTTAAGTCAGCCATGACAGGAATAATGACACCAAATCAGAAGTGGAGGAGACACAAAAGGTATGGTGAAGGACATGGCCAATCAGTACTATCATTTCCTGTGATGCCTAGACCCTCTTTCAAGGAAATTGGCCAAAAACTCTAGCCCTCTCCTGGAAGATTAATCTTATCTAAACCCAAACTAATGATGAAGAATAATTCTGTGGTCTCAGTATGCAGGGAACTCAGAAAGAAAGAAGAGAATTTTTGACCAGACATGGTGGTTCACGCCTGTAATCCCAGCACTTTGGGAGGCTGAGGCAGGAGGATCACCTGAGGTCAGGAGTTCAAGACCAGCCCGGCCAACATGGCGAAACCCCATCTCTACTAAAAATACAAAAAAATTAGCAGGGCATGATGGCACACGCCTGTAGTCCCAGCTACTCGGGAGGCTGAGACAGGAGAATTGCTTGAACCTGGGAGGCAGAGGTTGCAGTGAGCCAAGATTGCAGCAAGCCAGCACTTTGGGAGGCCAAGGCAGGCAGATCACTTGAGGTCAGGAGTTCAAGACCAGTCTGGCCAACATGGCAAAACCCCGTCTCTACTGAAAATACAAAAATTAGCTGGGCATGGTGGTGCATGCCTGTAGTCCCAGCTACTTGGGAGGCTGAAGCAGGAGAATCGCTTGAACCCGGGAGACGGAGGTTGCAGTGAGCCAAGATCACGCCACTGAACTCTGGCCTGGGTGACAGAGCCAGACTCCATCTCAAAAAAAAATTTTTTTAAAGTAGTAGTGCTATAGTAGGCCCAATTATTAGGTCCAACAATTTTCATCAACTTCCTTTTTCACTCAGTTTGTTTCCAGGGAATGTTAATTTTAAACGTTACATTTTCAGAGTCTCACAAAGACCAGTTAAACAGTGCTGAAAACTGTCAGAAAGTAGTTGCTCGTATTCTAAGACTCAATTAAAGTACAGAGAGAAGTGACTTATCTTCTCTAGAAAAGCAATTTAAGGTTACTAAGTTTGTCCACGGTCTGTTAATTCAGATAAAAATCTCCTTTGATAAATCACCCCTGAAATATATGACAGGAGTATAGGTAGTAAAGAGAAAGAAACTGATAGCCTATTTGCAAACTTAGAAATCCCGATTTAGGCCAGGCGCGGTGGCCCATGCCTGCAATCCCAGCACTTTGGGAGGCCGAGGCCGATGGATCACCTGAGGTCAGAAGTTTGAGACCATCCTAGCCAATCAACATGGTGAAACCCCGTCTCTACTAAAAATACAAAATTAGCCAGGTGTGGTGGTGCACGCCTGTAATCCTAGCTACTCCAGAGGCTGAGGCAGGAGAATCGCTTAGAACCTGGGAGGCGGAGGTCACAGTGAGCCAAGATCGTGCCACTGCACTCCAGCCTGGGTGACATAGGGAGACTCTGTCTCAAAAAAAAAGAAATCCCAATTTAAACTTGGGCCACTACTACTGCACAATGATATGCTCAACAACAAAGTAAAACTGACTACATTTAATTTAATCCATTTAGCACTGAAAGTTAAGAGTATGAGCTCTGGAGCCAAACTATCTAGGTTTGAATCCCAGTTCTACCACTTACTCTATGATATTGGGCAAATCACTTACCTTCTCTATCTCAGATTCCCTACCAGTAACATAAAGATTATAATAGTAGCTGCCCTCACAGGAGTTATCATGAGGATTAAATTAGTTAGTGCATGTAAAGCACTTAGAACGCTTCTTGGAATGTAGCATTGGCTGCTGCTAGTACTAATATTATCATTATTATCCGATACTTTACTAGGCTATCAGTTCTCACAAGTGGCCCAAATATAGAATAGTTTCCTAACCAGATCACACTATTTTAACATTCTTGAATCAGTGATTCAATCAGTGAATCAAATTCAGAAAGTACCTCTAGGCTGGGTGCAGTGGCTCACACCTGTAATCCCAGCACTCTGGGAGGATGAGGTGGGAGAACTGCTTGAGGTGAGGAGTTCGAGACCAGCCTAGACAACATAGCGAGACTTCATCTTTATTTTTAAATTTTGTAATAGAAAAAAAAAATGAAAAAACCATAGCTCTCTACAAAACACAGCCTGAAGTCTTTCTTTTGAATCATTCAACTTATCAAAGTTCCCACCAATATTAACCAATAGCAAATATTTACTCCAAAAAATCAACATGAATTATCACTATATGAAAGTTCTGAGAAATCTTCTATTTGGAATAATTATTTCATTTTATTTTTAATTATAAATCCATCTCCCATCTCTGCTCTTACAAATGAGAATAAATCTGGATCCATAAGTAGTAATAAAACACACAATCTTTTACTAAGATATTTACTATCAATCTGCAAATTTGCCTTTGTCAAAGATATTCACCAAAAAAAAGTAAGTGTGCAATATATTTAATCATCTGGAAAACACAAGTTACAACTACTCTAAAATGCCACTTTATACTCACTAGAATGACTAAAATCAAAGGGACTAACAACTCAGGTAGTGGCAAGGATGTGGAGCAACTGAACTTATAAACTGCTGATGAAGTATTAAAACGGTATAACCATTCCATGGTTCTCTTTGGAGAACCATTTGGCAATTACTTTTTTTTTTTTTTTTTTTTGAGACAGAGTCTCACTCTGTCACCCAGGCTGGAGTGCAGTGGCGCGATCTCGACTCACTACAAGCTCCACCTCCCAGGTTCACGCCATTCTCCTGCCTCAGCCTCCTGAGTAGCTGGGACTACAGGCGCCCGCCACCACGCCCAGCTAATTTTTTTGTATTTTGAGTACAGACGGGGTTTAACCGTGTTCGCCAGGATGGTCTCGATCTCCTGACCTCGTGATCTGCCCGCCTCAGCCTCCCAATGTGCTGGGATTACAGGCATGAGCCACTGCACCCAGCCGGCAATTTCTTATAAAGTTAAACACACATGTGCCCTGTGACACAACAATTCTGCTAGGCATTCACCCAAGAGAAATGAAATGTTCACAACAATACTTGCAAAGCAGTGTTTATAGCAGCCTTCTCATTATAATAACCAAAAACTAAAAATGATCTGGGCTCAGTGGCTCACGCCTGTAATCCCAGCACTTTGGGAGGCTGAGGTGGGCAGATCACTTGAGGTCAGGAGTTCGAGACTAGCCTGACCAACATGGTGAAACCCCATCTCTACTAAAAACACAAAAATTAGCAGGGCATGGTAGTGCACGCCTATAATCCAACTACTTGGGAGGCTGATGTGAGAGAATTGCTTGAATTGAAAAGGTGGAGGTTGCAGTGAGCCAAGATCGCACCACTGCACTCTAGCCTGAGCAATAGAGCAAGACTCTGTTTCAAAAAAAAAAAAAAGAAAATGACACAAATATCAATAGAAGAATGGAAAAACAAAGTGTAGTATATTCATAAAATGACATATTGTGTCACTTAGAAATTATCTGTTGTCTACAATAATGATGTAGAATTTACTATACAATGAGGATGCCTATTTTTAGCCTTATTTTTAGTTTCTTCAAATTCTGTCTCATTTTAAAGTACATTTTAAACAGTCTCTAGTTGAAGATCATTTTGATTCTGAAAATAACCTTACTTTTTGTTTAGTAACTCACTTGGGTTTTCTTATCACAATAGAAACTTTTGAAGGATTTTTGTTTTGTTTTGTTTTTGTTGACGGAGTCCCACTCTGTCGCCCAGGATGGACCACAGTAGCGTGATCTCGGCTCACTGCAACCTCTGCCCCCTGGGTTCAAGGGATTCTCCTGCCTCAGCCTCCTGAGTTTTAGCTGGGATTACAGGTGCATGCCACCATGTCTGGCTAATTTTTGTATTTTTAGTAAAGACACGGTTTCACCATGTTGGCCAGGCTCGTCTTGAACTCCTAATCTCATGATCCGCCCACCTTGGGCTCCCAAAGTGTTGAGATTACAAGCGTGAGCCACCGTGCCCAGCTTTGAAGGATTTTTAAATTGGTACCTTTCAGAAGCAAATAAGTCACAGGGTTTTATTAAATGACACTCTTATAGAAACTCTTGGCCGGGCGCGGTGGCTCACACCTGTAATCCCAGCACTTTCGGAGGCTGAGGCGGGCGGATCACGAGGTCAAGAGATCAAGACCATCCTGGCTAACATGGTGAAACCCTGTCTCTACTAAAAATACAAAAATTAGCTGGGCGTGGTGGTGCCTGCCTGTAATCCCAGCTACTCGGGAGGCTGAGGCAGGAGAATCGCTTGAACCCAGGAGGCGGAGGTTGCAGTAAACTGAGATCGTATCACTGCACTCCAGCCTGGTGACAGAGCAAGACTCCATCTCAAAAAAATAAAGAAAAAAAAAGAAACTCTTAAATATATTTGTACCTATATATTTTTTCTCTCTCTTTTTTTTTTTTTTTTTTTTTGTTGAGACAGGGTCTTGCTGTTGCCCAGGCTGGAGTGCAGTGGCACGATCACAACTCACAGCAGCCTCAACCTCCTGGGCTCAAGTGATCCTCCCACCTCAGCCTCCCGAGTAGCTGGGCCTACAGGCACACACCACCATGCCTGGCTAATTTTTGTATATTTTATAGAGATGAGGTTTTGCCATGTTGCCCAGGCTGGCCTGGAACTGCTGAGCTCAGGCAATCCAGCCTCCCAAAGTGCTGGGATTACAGGCATAAGCCATCACGCCTGGCCTATTTTTCTCTTAATCGTGCTCAGTCCATATTCATCTAACTGAAGTGTTCTCTCCAGAAATTACTCATGTAAGAAGAGACTGGCTTAAAATGACTACTGTGATGGAAACAATGCCATAGGGAGATACAACCTGGATCTGAGGTAAACTGAATACTGTAATCAACAAACTGGCTTACAGCTTGCAATTTTCTATTGATTATGGTTTCCTCAGTAAAACAACAGATGTAAGAAACAAAAAAGGACTACTACTCAGCAATAAAAAAGAATGTATTACTGATTAACACAATAACATGGATGAATCTCAAAAGTATTAAGCAAAAGTAGTGATGTTCATTTTAAAAATGCATATGGAATGATTCCATTTACATGAAATCCAAGAACACATTTAAAAGCAGAAAGTAGCTAGGGAGAGGGAGGGCAAAAGAACTTGGCGGGGACATGAAACAACAACTTTCTACAGATCATTTGTACAGATTAAGTCACAGTTCTGAATATTATTCATCCCTAGATTCCACATAAGGATCAGGGATCACCCAAAAGAAAAATGGACCAAGAACAGGAATAAGCAACTTCACTTAAAGGAAATGTTAATGATCATATTTTAAATGTCCCACTAGTGACCAAATAAATACAAATTTCAGAAACCAGTTACTATTTCCTATCAAATTTGCAAATATTTTAAAATAATAACATGCTGGCAAAGCTGTATATCTCAATCTCATACACTGTTAATGGAAATGTAAACTTGTACAGCCATTCTAGAAAGCAACTGTGCAATGTTTTGCTCTCCTGAGAGCTCTAGAAATGTTAATACACTTTGACTTGATAATTCCACTTACAATAATCTATTTTGAGAATACAGAAATACTGAAAGTCATATTTAGCAATATTCATTGTGTTTTATAATAATCAGAAATTAATAAACGCTCTAAGTGTGAACACAATATAAATTGGTTCTATAAATAATATATCCATTAGTGGAATATTCTTCAGCTGTTTTAAAATGTTTTCTGGCTGGAAGCAATGGCTCATACCTTTAATCCCAGCACTTTGGGAGGCCGAGGCAGGTGGATCACTTGGGGTTAGGAGTTCAAGACCAGCCTGGCTAAAATGGCGAAACCCCGTCTCTACTAAAAATACAAAAATTAGCCAGGTGTGCTGACGCACATCTGTAATCCCAGCTACATGGGAGGCCAAGGCACGGGAATCGCTTGACCCCGGGAGGCAGAGATTACAGTGAGCCGAGATTGCGACACTGCACTCCAGCCTGGGCAAGACAGCAAGACTCTGCCTCAAAAAAAAAAAAAAAAAAAAAGTTTTCAAATAATTGTAATAAAAATAATAAACACATATTATATGATGTTGTTTAAAAAGCAGCCTCCAAAATTATCTATATAGTAAAATATGCACGAAGAAAAAACAGAAACAGACAATAAATGTTAATGTAATTTTTTAAAATGAATTAGGGGCCAACATCATAGAAACTATGATTATATTTCACAAGTGTCTGGGTTTCATTATAAGAACACAAGTGATATCCCTCACTAAGTAGGTCTAGTGGAGGGGAGAACAAAAAGACTAAAAGAATAAGAACATTCATTAAAGGAAAAAACCATTAGCATTATTTCAGATATGAATACGCAACTTATCAAATGAAGTCAAAGTCCTTCACGGTATCTTAACAAATCTATAATCAAGAAAAAGTTACAGAACTCAGTTCAATGCAAATATATACCAACCATGTTTAATCCAAACTGGGGAAAATAATTAGATGATTTAGTGATTTTCCACAGAACTGAGCTCAGCTCTTTTACAAAGCAACAAAAGAAGGGAAAGAGACTGCCAGAAGTCAAGCCAGCAACCTGATTTCCTAGGAAATTAGTTTTTACTTGGCAAAGTACCAGCCTCTAAAGAAGCACAACTCTACAAATAGAGATGAGACACATAAAACTCGAACACTCTGTAAAAAAATGTATGCTTTTCCCTTTGCTCTTAAGATCTCTAAAAGTGAATAATTAATGACTATTAAAAACAGGGGGAAAAAGACCCAATTTAGAGTTAAACATTCTAAAAACAGTAAGTTTCTTTCAAAATGCTAAGCAAACCTTACAAATTGTAAAATAATTATATTTTTGTTATTTTGAAAATTAAAAGGAAAATATGCCATTTCTAACCTTCAGTTAGGATTACATGGGAGACTTTAATATTAACTATATTAATTATGGATTTAAATTTATCAAGGTTAATACAATCTTTACAACACTTCTATGTTTTTAATCATCACTACAGAACATTTCCTTGAATTTTCAATTTAAAAAATAAAACCTTTACATGTGATCTTCCTTCAGAAAAAGGCTATGTGTAATAATACAAAAGAAGAGTCTTCTTAAGATAAAAAGGGTGCTAGGATAGGTGAATTAAAGAGGAGAAAGGAGAGAGAAAGAGAAAGGAACAGGTATGAATCTTTTCTTCCTTTAAGTCACATGTTTAAGGACCTGACCCTGATTTCTATTTAATGGCTTAGCACTGGAAGCTTCCAAATAACTAATGACACAAGGATGCCCAGTAGGCAGAGAAATAGCAGCTGAACTTCATTTACCGTTCAAGTATAAGGTTAACATAAGGATGAAATTATATACAACCTGTATATTTAAATCAGTGGATTCATTTATAACCTATTCTTGCAACTCTAAACTGCTTCCCTCATACAATGACCCCAACTGCCACTCTAGACCAAAAGGCCAACAAATTGCTATTGGAAAAATTAGTGATAAAGCAGAAAATTTTATTAAACTTTGTAACAAACCAATAAACAAAAAGTAATGGTCTCAACTAATGCTGCTGGGACAACTAGATATCCATATATATATATGGATATCCATATATATATATGGATATCCATATATATATACATCCATATATCTATAGATATCCATATATATATACACATCCATATATCTATAGATATCCATATATCTCAACAGAAGAATTGTTGAGCCCCTTCCCCCACACTGTACACAAAAATTACTGCAAAATGGATCACAGACTTAAATGTAAGAGCCAACTCTATAAAACTCTTAGAAGACACTGACATGGAGTGAACAAAATTAAGAAAAAATAAACTAAAACTCTTACAAGAAAACATAGGTATAAATATTCACAACCTTGGATTGGGCAATAGTTCTTAGATATTGTATCAAAAGCACAAGCAACAAAAAAAACAAATCGGCCAGGGGAGGTGACTCACACCTGTAATCCCAGCACTTTGGGAGGCTGAGGCGGGCGGATCACGAGGTCAGGAGATCGAGACCATCGAAACCCCATCTCTACTAAAAATACAAAAAATTAGCCGGGTGTGGTGGCAGGTGCCTATAATCCCAGCTACTCGAGAGGCTGAGGCAGAATAGTATGAAACCGGGAGGTGGAGGTTGCAGTGAGCTGAGATCGCGCCACTGCACTCCAGCCTGGGTGACAGAGCGAGACTCCGTCTCAAAAAAAAAAAAAAAAAAAAAAAGGACTTGAGCCAGCGTGGTGGCTCCTGGGTCATGGGCCAGGAGTTTGAGGCCAGGCTGGACAACACAGGGAGATCCCTGTGTCTAAAAAAGAAAAAAAAAAAAAGCTGGACTTTATTAAAATGAAAAAACTTTTGTGCTTCAAAGAACATCAAGAAAGTGAAAAGACAGCTCACAAAATGGGAGAAAATACTTGTAAATCATTATGTCTGACAAGGAACTTATATCCAGAATATATAAAGAAAACATATATTACAACTCAATAATAAAAAGACAAACCAGCTTTTAAAAAATCGGCAAGCATATAAAAAGACACTTCTTCCAAGAAGATAGACAAATGGCCAATAAGCATATGAGAAGATTCTCAACATCACTAGCCATCAGGGAAATGCAAATCAAAACCACAATTAATTTCTACTTTAGGCCAGGCACAGTGGCTCACTGTAATCCCAGTACTTTGGGAGGCCAAGGCAGGCAGATCATGAGATCAGGAATTCGAGTCCAACCTGGCCAACACAGTGAAACCCCGTCTCTACTAAAGATACGAAAATTAGCCTGGCATGGTAGTGCACGCCTCAGCTGAGAGGCTGAGGCAGGAGAATAGCTTGAACCCAGGAGGGAGAGGTTGTGGTGAGCCAAGATCACGCCACACACTCCAGCCTGGGCAACAGAGCAAGACTCCATCTCAAAGAAAAAAAAATTCTACTTTATACTCACTAGAATAGCTCTACTCAAAAAGCAGAGATCAGCCTGAGCTGTGACTCACACCTGTAATCCCAACACTTTGGGAGGCGAGGAGAAAGAAACGCTTGAGGCCAGGAGTTCCAGACCATCCTGGGCAACATAGCAAGACCCCATCTCTACCAAAAAATTTAAAAAATAAAAATTAGCTGGGCATGGTGGTGCAGTCCTAGCTACTAGGGAGGCTGAGGTGGAAGGATAGTTTGAGCCAGGAGTTTGAGGCTGCAGTGAGCTATCATGCCCACTACACTCCAGCTTGGGTGACAGACCAAAATTCTGTCTCAAAACAACAATAAAAAAAATAAAATAAAAGAGGTAATAACAATTGTTGGCGACAATGCAGAAAAACTGGAATTCTCATTCTCACTGCTGGTGAGAATGTAAAATGGTGTAGCTGCTTTAGAAAACCTCAAAAGAGTTACCATATAACCTAGCAATTCCACTACTTATGGGCATATACACAAAAACAATGAAAAGAGACCCGGCACAGTAGCTCACACTTGTAGTCCCAGCACTTTGGGAGGCCGAGGCAGGAGAATAGCTTGAGCCCAGGGGTTCAAGACCAGCCTGGGAAACATAGTGAGAGACCCTGTCTCTGTAAGAAAAAAAAAAGAAAAAAGAAAGAAAAAAAAAAAACGGGCAGGAGTGGTGGTGCATGCCTATGGTCCTAGCTACTCAGAGGCTGAGGTGGGACCATCTCTTGATCCTGGGAGGTTAAAACTGCAGTAAGCAATGATTGCACCACTGCACTCTGGACTGGGCTACAGAGCAAGATCCCATCTCAAAAATAATAATAATAATAAATTGTTTAAATTGTTTTAAAAGGAAAAAAGAAATGAAAACACATGTCCACACAAAAACTTTTATGTGAATGTTCATATTGGCTCTATTTGAATAGCCAAAAACTAGAAATAATCCAATGTCTATCAGCAGAAGAAATTTTTTAAATTGCAATATATCCATATTATGGAATACTACTCAACAATAAAAGGTAATGAAATATTGATACACAAATAACATGGAAAATCTCAAATTAATTAGGCAGAATGAAAGAAGTCAGACAAAAAAATATATGTATATACTACATGATGCTATTTATATAAAATTCTAGAAATTGCAAACTAATCCATAATGACAGACAGCAGATTAGGAGTTGCCTGCGGGAATAGAAAGGGAGAGATGTATTACAAAAGGTAGAAAACTTTTGGAGTGATCAGTATGTTCCTTACCTTAGCTGTAGTGTATACATATGTAAAAACTCATTACACCATTTACTTTTTTTTCTTTTTTTGAGACAGGGTCTGGCTCTGTCGTCCCATCTGGAGTGTAGTGGTGCAATCTCAGCTCACTGCAACCTCTACCTCCTCGGCTCAAGTGATCCTCCTGCCTCAGCCTCCTGAGTAGCTGGGACTACAAGCACATGCCTCCATGACTGGCTAATTTTTGCATTTTTGTAGAGATGGAGTTTCACCATGATGACCAGACTGATATCAAACTCCCAAGCTCAAGCAATCTGCCTTCCTTGGCCTCCCAAAGCACTGTGCTGGGAATACTGGTTTGAGCCACTGCACCCAGCCCTGTTTACCTTAAATACGTGCAGTTTCACCGTACATCAATTGTACCTGAATAAAGCTATTTTTAAAATGCACATGCCATGGTGGGGGAAGAGAACTATACTAGCCTTTCTGAAAATGGTATGTTTGGGTAAGAAAAAAGTAGAAAAAGGATGGGTACAGTGGCTCACGCCTGTAATCCCAGCACTTTGGGAGGCTGAGGCGGGTGGATCACTTGAGGTCAGGAGTTCCAGACCAGCCTGGCCAACATGGTGAAACCCCATCTCTACTAAAATTACAAAATTAGCCAGGCGTGGTGGCGCACGCCTGTAATCCCAGCTAATCAGGAGGCTGAGGCAGGAAAATTGCTTGAACCTGGGAGGCAGAGGTTGCAGTGAGCCGAGACCATGCCATTGCACGCCAGCCTAGGCAACAAGAGCAAAACTCCATCTCAAAAAAAAAAAAAAAAAGTAGAAAAAACAGGCTGAGAGGATTGATCGATTGATGATTGATTCATTCATTCATTGAGCTGGAGTCTTGCTCTGTCTCCCAGGCTGGAGTGCAGTAGCGTGATCTCAGCTCACTGCAACCACTACCTACCGGGTTCAAGCAATTCTCCAGCCACAGCCTCCCGAGTGGCTGGGATTACAGACGCCCACCACCAAGCCCAGCTAATTTCTTTTGTATTTTAGTAGAGACAGGGTTTCACTGTGTTGCCCTCTCGAACTCCTGAGCTCAAGCAATCTGCCCTCCTCCACCTCCCAAAGTATTTATTTATTTTTGAGACAAAGTCTCACTCTGTCCCCCCACGCAGGAGTGCAGTGGCGCAATCTCGGCTCACTGCAACCACCACTTCCCGGGTTCAAGTGATTCTCCTGCCTCAGCCTCCTGAGTGGCTGGGATTACAGGCACGCACCACCTTGCCCGGGCCGAGAGCTTTTAAATATGACAAACCTTTTTAAAGGTCAAAATATTGGCTGGGCACAGTGGCGGATGCCTGTAAACCCAACACTTTGGGAGGCCAAGGCTGGTGGATCACGACATCAGGAGATCGAGACCACCCTGGCTAACACGGTGAAACCTGGTCTCTACTAAAAATACAAAAAATTAGCCAGGTGTGGTGGCATGCACCTGTGGTCCCAGCTACTCGGGAGGCTGAGGCAGGAGAATTGCTTGAACCCGGGAGGCGGAAGTTGCAGTGAGCCCAGATCGTGCCACTGCACTCCAGCCTAGGTAACAGAGCAAGACTCCATCTCAAAAAAAAAAAAAAAAAGTCAAAATATTTAACTGATCCTCACATGGTAATAGCTGAATTTTCAGCATCCATTGATGGAGAAAATAATCAAAACACAACCAAAGCTACCCTGAATTGAGGCAAGCCTTTAAAATAAAGATGTTTAAAACTCATCTCAATATTTATTTGAAGAATGAAACTATATATACATACATACATATGTTTAGAACATATTGCTTTAGTCTACAATTTTTCTCTAGATCACAAGGTCAAGAGATCGAGACTTTCCTGGCCAACATGGTGAAACCCATCTCTACTGAAAATACAAAAATTAGCCAGGCGTGGTGGCGTGCGCCTGTAGTCCCAGGTACTCAGGAGGTTGAGGCAGGAGAATTGCTTGAACCCAGGAGGCGGAGGTTGCAGTGAGCCGAGATCACGCCACTGCACTCCAGCCTGGCAACAGAGTGACACTCCGTCTCAAAAAAAAAAAAAAAAGAAAGTAGGCAATATTTGATGAATATATGGATTTAAGAACTCTAGATACCTGCAGAAAACATCCTCCCCAAACGAGAGACTTGCAGGGAACAAATTGAGAACCACTGATAAAGATACCCAATGCCAAGGAGATTCAATACAGTACTTAAATATTATCTTAAATAAAAGAGGTCAAGCCTAATGAAAATTTATCTAATAGGTTCCCTAGCTATATTTCATAATTCAAAAGAATTTAGAGATTAGCTGTAACACTACTAACGTGGGTGCAGATATTTAAGAATTTACTAGCCTAGGCAACACAGGAGATCCCAACACTACAAAAAAAGTTAAAAATTAGGTGGACATGATGGCATGTACCTGTAATCCCAACTACCCAGGAGGCTGAGGCAAGAGGACTGCCTGAGTCCCAGGAGTTTAAGGCTGCAGTTAGCTATGATGGTGCCACTGTACTGCAGCCTGAGTGACAAAGTGAGACCCTGTCTCAAAAAAAAAAAAAAAAAAAAAAAAAAAAAAAAAAAAAAAAAACTTACAGCTGATTTATAGCTGGATAAAATAAAGATTCACGTTTTTCCAGAGATGGACTAGACTGAAAATGTGACAAAGTCAAAAAGAATTCAAGATTCCTTTTCATGTCTAAATGAAGTTTAAATTTCATAGTACAATTTAATATACAAGACTCTTTTCCAGTCCACACAAATAACACAGAGAAAGTTTTTTACCTCCCACCTGCTTCGGTAAAAATGCTGGGTCCTTGCAACAGTAAATGTAGCTAACATTTACTGGGCATTTACTATGAACTAAACAGTATGTTAAATTGTTTAACTTTACATGGATTATCTCATATAACCTTCAAAGCCATTTATTTTGAAGATAAGAAAACCAGCAAAAAGAGTTAACTTGCCTAAGAAAGCAGAGCTGAAGGTGAATTCAGGCAATTGGAGTTCATTTTACCATACCACCTCCTATTAGTTCACGTCATAAACTCAGCCCCCAATGTGGGGGAGGGGTTCCATCATTCATCAGTACATTTATGTAAATCAGAGAATAACAAAAAAGATAAAAGTCCTGACTGCAAAAAATTAACAACTTATGAAGAAATGAAATTTAATATTGCAAAATAACTTTTTCTTTTTTTTTTTTTTTGAGATGGAGTCCTGCTCTGTCGCCCAGGCTCGAGTCCAGTGGCACGATCTCAGCCTACTGCAACCTCCACCTCCCAGGTTCAAGTGATTCTCCTACCTCAGCCTCCCGAGTAGCTGGGACTATAAGCACTCCCCACCACACCCGGCTAATTTTTGTATTTTTAGTAGAGATGAAGTTTCACTGTGTTGGCCAGGCTGGTCTCAAACTTCTGACCTCAAGTGATCCTTCTGCCTCAGCCTTCCAGAATGCTGGGATTACAGGCATTAGCCACCATCACCAGACTTGCAAAATAACTTTAAAAAAAAATCCTAAACTGGGCGCGGTGGCTCACGCCTGTAATCCCAGCACTTTGGGAGGCCAAGGCGGGTAGATCACAAGGTCAGGAGTTCGAGACCAGCCTGGCCAATATGGTGAAACCCCGTCTCTACTAAAAAATACAAAAATTAGCCAGGCGTGGTGGCACACCCTGTAATCCCAGCTACTCAGGAGGCTGAGGAGGAGAATCACTTGAACTCGGGAGGCAGAGGTTGCAGTGAGCCAAGATAGTGCCACTGCACTCCAGCCTGGGCGACAGAGTGCGACTTTGTCTCAAAAAAAAAAAAAAAAATCCTTAACATGACAAAATGCCAAACTGTATGGTTTCTAAAACTAGTCTAGAGCATTTTGGGAGGCCAAAGCAGGAGAATCACTTGAGGCTAGCAGCTCAAGACTAGCCTCGGCAGCATAACAAGACCTCATATCTTAAAAAAAAAAAATTAATAAATAAACATAAAATTAACTTTGGGAGGCTGAGGCAGAAGGATCACTTGAGCCCAGGAGTTGGAGAACAGCCTGGGCAACATAGTGAGACCCCAGTTCTATTTTTAAATAACTTTTTTAAAAATAAAAATAAGGCCGGGCGCAGTGGCTCACGCCTGTAATCCCAGCACTTTGGGAGGCCGAGATGGGCAGATCATGAGGTCAGAAGATTGAGACTAACCTGGCCAACATAGTGAAACCCAGTCTCTACTAAAATACAAAAAATTAGCTGGGCGTGGTGGCGCACCCTGTAGTCCCAGCTACTCGGGGAGGCCGAGGCAAGGGAATCGCTTGAACCCGGGAGGCGGAGGTTGCAGTGAGCCGAGATTGTGCCACCGCACTCCAGCCTGGCAACAGAGCGAGACTCCATCTCAAAAAAAAAAAAACCAGCATAGGCCGGGTGCAGTGGCTCACGCCTGTAATCTCAGCACTTTGGGAGGCTAAGGTGGGCAGATCACGAGGTCAGGAGTTCGAGACCAGACTGGCCAACATAGTGAAACCCCGTCTCTACTAAAAATACAAAAAATTAGCTGGGCGTGGTGGCAGGTGCCTGTAATCCCAGCTACTCAGGCGGCTGAGGCAGAAGAGTCACTTGAACCCAAGAGGTGGAGGTTGCCATGAGCCGAGATCACGCCATTGCGCTCCAGCCCAGGCGACAGTGCAAGACTCCATCTCAAAAAATAAATAAATATATATAAAATTAGTCTAGAGTATTACAGAAAGATACTAAGAAATGAACAATAGGCTGAGCACAGTGTCTGACACTTATAATCCCAGCACTTTGGGAGACTGAGGCAGGAGGATCACTAAAAAGGAAAAAAAAACAAACAAACCTGCGCAACATAGAATGACCTCATCTCTACAAAAAAAAAAAGAAAAGAAAAAATAAAGAACAACATTTGATGTAACATGTTAACATTTTTATAAATGACCAGTCATGTAAATGGACATTTGCAGTTCATTTTCTTGCCGATTTTTTTTTTTTTTTGAGATGGAGGCTGACTCTGTCACCCAGGCTGGAGTGCAGTGGCACAATCATGGCTCACTACAATGCCCCCTACCCTACCCCCAACCCTCGGGTTCAAGCGATTCTCCCACCTCAGCCTCCCTAGTAGCTGGGACAACAGGCATGCACCACCACACCCAGCTACTTTTTTGTATTTTTAGTAAAGACTGGGTTTTACCACGTTGGCCAGGCTGGTCTCGAACTCTGAGCTCAAGTGATTCGCCTGCCTCGGCCTCCCAAACTGCTGGGATTACAGGCATGAGCCACCGCATCTGGCCTCTAATATTTTCAATATAGTATTTGGGACTGCTTTCCTTGCAAGAGTTAAGGAAGACTTACTTGGCTACTACAGGAAATATCTTTCCTTCATACCACCAATGCTAGATAATTTTCAAAAACAAGAATGAATCAACTCTTTAAAATAATAATTCAAAATTATGTTCACTGATGAGATTTGAAGTCTATTACATCATGAATGTGATGGAAATTGTACACCTTTCATCAGAGACAATAAATAATATAGCTTTTAACAGCTTTATTTTTTTTAATTTATAATAGAGATAGGGTCTTGCTACGTTGCCCAGGCTTTTATCAAAACCCTAGGCTCCAGCAATTCTCCCTCCTTGGCTCCCAAAGTGCTGGGATTAAAGGCATGAGCCACCACACCAGGCCAGATTTTAACAGCTTTCTACAAATACAGATTTTTCTTTCATTTGACCAAATCCTTATCTAAGGAAGATACAGGGCTTAAATTCTGAAATAAAAACTATTTCTACTTGAATTGCGAAGATAAATATATTAACTCCAGGGAAAAATAAGCTGGTTCTAACTGGCATTTAGAACTAATTTAAAATCATTAACAATATCAGTAAATAAAATAATTCAATAAAAGCAATGATTTTAATAACAAAATCAGTAAATAATATAATGCTCAATTGTTTTTTTCTAGTAGTAGGATTAATGGTTTCCACTGTTGTCAAAAACTCACATGTATTTGGAAGAGGACCAGGTACAGTCACATCTTGGTATCTGAGGGGGACTCGATCCAGGACCCCATGGATACCAAAATCTGCAGATATCCCAGTTCCTTATGTATAATGGCATAGTACAGTCGGTCCTCTGTATCCATGGGTCCCACACAGGAGGATTCAACCAATCTTGCATCAAATATATTCGGAAAAAAAAATGGATGGTTGTAATGAACATGTACCTACTTTTCTTTCTTGTCATTATACCCTAAACAATACAGTATAACTATGTACATAACATTTATATCATATTAGGTTGGTGTAAAAGTAATTGTGTTTTTGCTATTACTTTTAATGGCAAAAGCTGTAATTACTTTTGCACCAACCTAATATTAAGTATTATAATTAATCTAGAGAAATAATTCAAAGTATACGGGAGAATGTGTGCAGGTTATATGTAAATACTACACCATCTTATATAAGTGACCTGTGCATCTATGGATTTTGGTATATTGGGGTCCTGGAATCAATCCCCCACTGATACCTGTATTTGCATATAACCTGCACACATTCTCCCATATATGTTATATAATCTCTAGATTACTTATTAATATAATACCTAATACAATGTAAAAGCTATGTAAATACTTATACTGTATTTATTCGTATTATTTGTATTGTTTTATTTTTTATTGGGTTTTCTTTCCAAATATTTTCTATCAACTGCTGGTTGAATCCAAGGATGCAGAATACACAGATAAGGGCTGACTATAATATGATAGATAAACAGCCTGTGACCACACAACAAAATATTAGCTTCATTTACCCCATGTTTCAGTCTAATACACCAAAATAAACCAACCACAAAAACAAACTGAAGTAGTAAATGTTTAAAATATATGTAATGTTTTGGTGTTTGTTTTTTGATACAGAGTCACACTCTGTCGCCCAGGCTGGAGTGCAGTGGCTCGGCTCACTGCAACCTCTGCCTCCCAAGTTCAAGCAATTCTCCTGCCTCAGCCTCCTGAGTAGCTGGGATTACAGGCATGCACCACTACTCCCAGCTAATTTTTGTATTTTTAGTAGACACGGGCTTTCGCCATGTTGGCCAGGCTGGTCTCGAACTCCTGACCTCAGGTGATCCGCCCACTTTGGCCTCCCAAAGTGCTGGGATTACAGATGTGAGCCACCGCGCCCAGCCTTAAAATACCTGTAATGTTTTAAAGTCGACTCTGGTTTTCCTAGCTGCCACAATGCTTACAATAACAGTATCTGGAATATTAGCCCATCCTAAAAGAGAAGTCTATAATAGATCTAATGTGATAATTATTAATAATTAACAATTACAATTTGTTAAGTGCCCACTATGGGCAAAATGCTATACACTACACAAAATGCTTTTCATTTAATTCTCACCATCACCCTGATGTGGAGGATAGCATAAGCTCCATTTTATGGATGACGAAACTGAATCTAAAAGAAGTTTAATAAACTGCTCAATTAGTAAATTAACGATAAAGTCAAGATTCAAAATCATGGTCACACAATTATAATGAATTTTGTCCATTCTGTCATGCTGCCTCTGGACATAAATGATGCTCTTTCAATTTCATAACATGGCAGTCACAAATATATTTCTGTCATCAGCAGGCTATTCTATGGTTCTGTGAGATACTAGTTTGGAGGAAAAAAAAGTTTTATCTTGATTAAAGAATACTGGGAGCTAGGCTGGGCGCAGTGGCTCACGCCTGTAATCCCAACACTTTGGGAGGCCAAGGCAGGTGGATTACTTGAGGTCAGGAGTTTGAGATCAGCCTGGCCAATATGGCGGAACCCTGTTTCTACTAAAAATACAAAAATTAGCCGGGCGTGGTGGCACACGCCTGTAATCCCAGCTACTCGGAAGGCAGGATAATCGCTTGAACCTGATAGGCGGAGGTTGCAGTGAGCCGAGATCGTGCCACAGCACTCCAGCCTGGAAGACAGAGCGAGACCCCATCTTAAAAAAAAAAACAAAACAGAATACTGGGAGTTAAAACTTCTTATAACAAAGTCGCTTATATTAAAAGAAATTAAGTAAATAAACCAAACGCAGTGACTCACGCCTGTAATCCCAGCACTTTGGGAGGCCGAGGCAGGAGGATCACTTGAGGCCAGGAGTTCAAGACTAGCCTGAGCAACACGGTGAAATCCCGTCTCTACTAAAAATACAAAAAAGTTAGCTGGGCATGCTAGTTGGCACCTGTAATCCCAGCTACTTGAGAGGCTGAGGCAGGAGAATTGCTTGAACCCAGGAGGCGGAGGTTGCAGTAAGCCAAGATTGCACCATTGCACTCTATCCTGGGCGACAGAGCAGGACTCTGTCTCAAAAAAAAAAAAAAAAAAAAACAAAAAACAAATCTACACTTCGGGAGGCTGAGGCAGGCAGATCACGAGGTCAGGAGTTCAATACCAGCCTGGCCAATATGGTGAAACCCCATCTCTACTAAAAATACAAAAAACTAGCCAGGTGTGGTGGCGTGTGCCTGTAGTCCCAGCTATTCGGGAGGCTAAAGCAGGAGAATTACTTGAACCCACAAGGCGGAGGTTGCAGTGAGCCAAGATTGAGCCACTGCACTCCAGCCTGGGCAACAGAGGAGACACCGTCTAAAAAAAAAAAAAAAAAACCTACAACAAAAATTAGCCAGGCATAGTGGCATGCCCCTGTAGTCCCAGCTACTCGGTAGCCTGACGCAGGACAATTGCTTGAACCTGGGAGGTGGAGATTTCAGTGAGCCGAGATTGTGCCACTGCACTCCAGCCTGGGCATCTTTAAATAAAATAAATTAAGTAAATAAACCTTCACAAATTATCTACATGATAAAATCAAAATGTACCTGAGATGTACATATGCACAAGTGACTAGACGAAAGTATCACTATTACTTTTCCAAAGTCAAAGGTAACCAAGGCCAATCTTAAATAAAGTTACAAATTTAGCTGATTTCTGTGTCCCTGGTTGCCCCAGCTTTGCCTTTATTCAGAGCTAAGCAGTATTCTACAGTTTTTCCCTCTTCTTCCCTAATTAAACTAGAAATGTTCCAAATTAACTATAATTCACCTTAATATAATCAAGTTACCATAATTAAGATTTTGCTGTCCTACTCAGGTAATTGAAGACTTTGATCTTGGTTAAAAGAACGTAAGATAGCCTGAGCACGGTAGCTCATGCCTGTAATCCCAACACTTTGGGAGGACTGCCTGAGTTTAGGAGTTTAACAAGACCCTGTCTCTACCCCCCAAAAAAAAAACTGGCCAGGCGTGGTGGCTCACGCCTGGAATCCCAGAACTTTGGGAGGCCAGGGTGGATGGATCACCTGAGACCAGGAGTTCAAGACCAGCCTGACCAAAATGGTGAAACCTCATCTCTACTAAAAATGCAAAAATTAGCGGGGTGTGGTAGTGCACACCTGTAATCCCAGCTACTAGGGAGGATGAGGCAGGAGAATCACCTGAACCCAGGAAGTGGAGGTTGCGGTGAGCTAAAATTGTGCCATTGTACTCCAGCCTGGGCAACGAGAACGAAACTCTGTCTCAAAAACAAAACAAAACAAAACAAAACTGGGCAGCCTGTAGTCCCAGCAACTGGAGAGGCTGAGGCAGAAGGATCACCTGAGCCCAGAATGTTGAGGCTGCAGTGAGCCGAGATCATGCCACTGCATACTCCCTCCACGTCAAAAGAGCAAGACACCGTCTCAAAAAAAAGGAACGTAACTTATCAGCAAACAAGTGGGGAGAAACAGGGTTTTCGTGGGTAGAGAGGGGGAAGTCACTGAACGTTAATTACTAATATAGCAACTCCTTGGTTAATGCATTTAAGATGACTGGGGGTCTCTTCCTAATCCCATACTCCACTGGAGAGGACAAGTGGGAAAGGTTGGTCTAGTTAAGGTTGCTGGGGACCTCCCAAGAGCTGCAGAAGCAGAGATAAGAAGAGCCTTCTTCTAAATCCACATGGTCCTTCCAAGGCTCTCATCCTCTAGGACTACCACTTCTCAGTCTACTTACTTGTCTTCTGACATGCTTTCTTGAGGGGAAGAAAACAAAGGAAGAGTAATAACAAGCAGCAGAAACTGCAGAGAATGAAAAATAAGTCCATAGGAGAATGTTGCAAATAGAATCATCCTCCTTTACATATGTCACTCCAGGAAAACTGCCAAGAACCACTCATTCCTCTAGATACACTTCCTGTAGATCCTCCAGACTCCTCCCTTAAGCACGTCAGTATTCTCCTTATTCTCCCTTCATTTCAATCCTCCTTTTGCCTCAAGATTTCGAAGTGCACTTTTTTTTATGGTTTCTTTTTGTTTTGTTTTGTTTTGTTTGAGACGGAGTTTCTCTCTTGTTGCCCAGGCTGGAGTACAATGGCGTGCTATTGGCTCACTGTAACCTCCGCCTCCTGGGTTCAAGTGATTCTCCTGCCTCAGCCTCCTGAGTAGCTGGGATTACAGGTATGTGCCACCACGCCCGGCTAATTTTGTATTTTTAGTAGAGACGGGATTTCTCCATGTTGGTCAGGCTGGTCTCAAACTCCTGACCTCAGGTGATCCACCCGCCTCAGCCTCCCAAAGTGCTGGGATTACAGGCATGAGCCACCACGCCTAGCCTCAAAGTGCACGTTTAATAATCTCCAAAATATATGGCAATATTGTACCTAGTATTTAATGATATCTTATTTATCACTACCTGTGTGTTGCAGCTGAACATACATCCTAAAGCCCTGTATTGTATTTCTACCTCTTATAATAAAATTTATAATATGTTACATTACTAAAACAAATTTTCCTTTTTTTTTTTTTTCAAAACAAAGTCTCGCTTTGTCGCCCAGGATGGAGTGCAGTGGCGCGATCTCAGCTCACTGCAACCTCCGCCTCCTAGGTTCAAGCCATTCTCCTGCCTCAGCCTCCCGAGTAGCTGGGACTACAGTCGCGTGCCACCATGCCCAGCTAATTTTTTGTGTTTTTAGTAGAGATGGGGTTTCACTGTGTTAGCCAGGATGGTCTCGATCTCCTGACCTCGTGATCCGTCTGCCTCGGCCTCCCAAAGTGCTGGGATTAAAGGCATGAGCCGCCGCACCCGGCCCCTTAAACAAATTTTCTTTGCCACTAAAGGATGCACTATAATGTCAAGATTAAAAAAATAAGATAGCAAAAAAATTTTTTTTTAATTTAAGGAGTATATTGTTTTATTTCTCCCCAGCCCTATCAGGAAAACATAAAATGAGGGAGGGAAAAAGTTGGGCGGGGGGGGAACGGTTGAAGAACTATTGGGTACTATGCTCACTACCTGGGTGACAGGACCAATCATACCTCAAACCTCAGCATCACACAATATACCCATATAACCAACCTGCATATGTACTCTCAGAATCTAAACTAAAAGTTGAATTTTTTTTTAAAAAAAAAGGAAAAAAATCAGAGTTCAGAAATCTGCAGAATTCAAGATCTATTCTCTAGAAATCAAAACCTGTTACACACAACAGATGTGTTTTGGCAAGTCCAAAGTAAAATGTAGCTTTTCAAGTACTCTATTATATAAAATACTTTTTTAAAGGTAATTAGTTTAGGAAGTTTCGAAGCAAACTAAAAAACTAGATATAGGGGTTTTATACTTTTAGAGAACTAGATTTTCAGTTACCCACATTTCTATTAGAATTTATTGTACAGCGAGTTGGAGAGCAGGAAGCAGAAAAGTAGATCAGAGACTTATAAAACAAGACAAGGCTTCTCTGAAATAGAAAATAAACCTAATTAACTAGTGTTAATTGAACTTCTACTTTTTAAAATCACTTACCTAAATAAAACTTCAGTATGTGAAACTGAGTCTCACTAAATAGCACAGTTAGGATTTTGGGATTTAAAAACCACCATTTATTCAACTACAGACAACCAAATCCCACTGTAAAATTATTTGGGCAATCAAAGCTATTCCTAGATAAGTATAATCAGATGAATAATAAGTCCACTTATTAAAACCAGGTAATCAAACTGCTCAATGTTCTCAATTATGAAGAATGAACTTTTCTATTTGTCATATAGGATTTCTCATTCTTCCATCATTTGGTGTAGAACTGAATGATCTATATAAATGTACCATGACTTCAACAACAACTCTAGTGCTAAGAATAATCCACTGAACTCAATGCAAGAAATCAAAAGCTTTCCTTCTCGAAACTTATGTCACAGAAAAAAAGCAGTAAATTTATTTTGTGAAAAGTCTGCATCTGCTTTAGAACTCAGATATGCAATGGTTATATGCCTTGCAGTCTTCCAAATGAAAATAAAAATTTTAAGGAAATATAATCTGAAATAAAACTAAAAATTATTTTTGAGAGAGAAAAAAATAAACCAAAAATCCTGATGCAAAGCTATACCAACAGTTTCTTCACAATTTCATAAAACATTAATGAAGAGGTTACATAATCCCCTGGATTAAAGATTTTAAAGAAAGCTGCAAGGATCTCTTTCAGTTTTCAATACTGCTTCCTGTTCTTAACAGCCATAAAAACAGATCTAAATCAACTCCTAAATATAAACCATCTAGCTTTCAATGGAAGAAAAATCAAACCACGTACAGATAAAACATACATATTCTTTTTAAAAACACGCTGTAAATTACATTTAGGTTCCTCAAACAAGTTAAGTTTACAACATGTACCACATCCAGTTTATTCTCAAGGGAGAAAACCATTAAACAAAAGCTCCCTCTTAATAAATGATTTACTTTGTAGTTAAGCCTCTATCCCAGGTGCATTTTGCTGTCACATATTACCACTATTTCTTTTCTCTACAAAGACCTAGAAACTGTATATCTAGTTCCTTTAAAAATATCTGTATATGTTTTATATTAGTGTAAGGATAAGAAATACTTAATATTTTTACTCTCTAAAAAGGAAATATCTTTTCATTTTTCTCTTTTGCAGTGTTTCTTACTTTGTTTTTGCTTATTTTCTATACATGAAATTTTCTCAAGTCAGTCCATTTCAGTGTTGTTTACTGTCAATATGTCTGTGTATACTCAGGCTTTTACAAACAATGCTTTACGGTACAGTGATAAAAAAGAAAGGGTGAACAAGAGGGCACAAGTGAAACAAAAGCGGACAACATCTGAGAAACACCATTCAATTTCTCTGCCTCAGATTCCCTTAAGTTCTCATGCCAAAGATTCTCAATATCCAAAAAAGTTCCAGAGTCAGAGGCATAACACAATATGTGACAAGACAAACACAGGAGGAACCAAATCAGAAACTGAAGAAATTTAATGGAATATAATACTCCCAAAAAAACCTTTTTTTTTTTTTTTAAGATGGAGTTTCACTCTTGTTGCCCAGACTGGAATGCAATGGCATGATCTCGGCTCACTGCAACCTCCACCTCCGGGGTTCAAGCAATTCTCCAGCCTCAGCCTTCCAAGTAGCTGGGATTACAGGCACGCGCCACCACGCCCAGCTAATTTTGTATTTTTTTTAAAGATGGGGGTCTCACCATGTTGGTCAGGCTGATCTTGAACTCCTGACCTCAAGTGATCCGCCCGCCTTGGCCTCCCAAAGTGCTGGGATTATAGGCGTGAGCCACCGCACCCAGCTTTCAGACTTTTTTAACTGTAAGAAATATATTTTATCCTTTGGCCAGGAACTCAAAAAAAGAAATACACTTTACATTGTGACCTAGTACATACATGTAGGAGAAAAGTTTCCCAAAACAATACTTTTCCTTACCAAATGCAATGTCAGTTTATTCTGTTCTACATTTTATTTTCAATGCAGGTAAAAACTCACAACATTGATTTTATAAATTACTAATAAATCACAATCCACAGTTTGAAAAACACAGGCTAAAAATGAGTATCCTTTATAATAGGATCTTTTAGGCAATTTGCCTCTACCTGTCTCTTTAGCAGGTATTTTAAAGTTGCTACCATTATTACCGGTTTCATTAAAGTAAGTGGTTCTTAAAGTGTGGTCCTCTGACCAACGTGATCATCATTTGAGATAAATATAAATTATTGGGCCCCACCCCAGACCTACTGAAACCCCCAGGTGGGGCCAAGCAATCTACATTTTACCAAGCCCTCCAGGTGATTTTGATGCAAGCTAACATCTGCGAGCCAGGTCTTTACCTTCTATTTAAGAAGTCAGGTCTTTATCGTCTATTGAACAATCCAGTACACACGACTATGTGCCAGTCACTATCCTAAAAGCTCTACAAATACCAACTCACATGAAAAAAAAAACACCACCACCACCTTATAAAGTAGGAACTATTACTATTAGTATTCTGATGAGGAAACTGCACAGAAACTTAGCTAAGTGGTGGAACTAGAACTCAAAACTTCTTTTCACTTTAGCCGAGTATGCCTACCCTCTTTCTGATAAGTATTTACTTCTACTCCTTTAGTTCAGCTACTCCTCCCCTTTTCCCTCCCAAATTCCCCACCCTGTCAATGAACCTATTTCCTAATATTACTGCCATCATCCTAAAACAAATTTCTTTTCTAAAACAAGTCACTTAACCTTGCTTTTAGGAGCTTTGCTTTGGTCCTAGATGTCATCTTGATATTAATTACGAAACTGAAGTTTCTTCTATTTGTGAAGACCTGTGAACCTACATGGCTCCACTGTTAATTTCTCATATATCTACTGTCCTAGCCAGTTCCACGAAACCATTACTCTCTCCTCGGGCAACTTTCTTTCTCTACCTTATCCCCTCCTATAGGGATTCTCTCCCACCTCCGCCCATCTCCGTCCCATTTTGCATGACTCCTCTCCGACCGAGGGAACTTCCACTCCCCTGCTGGCTCCTCACCCCGGTCTCAAACGCGAGCCACTCCTCGAGGACTTCTTTCCTGGTCCCTTAGGGATCCTCAGAGCCGGAGCGGCCAGGCCAGTTGGGTCTCCCATCCCAGCTCAGCTATGGGGGCGCAGGGAGCTCCGGTTCTTCCCCCAGGCGGTGCAAGATCTCTACTCGTCCGACCCTCCGAAGACCTGCTGCTCCTCATCTCTCCAGGAGCCCCCTCCCTTGGACAGCCGCTTTTCTCAGGAGGGTCCCCAACCCCCTCCGAGCGTTTCCTCAGACGCCCCTACTTGGAGCAAGTCTGCTCCCTGTCACCCGGGACCCTGGCCACCCTCGGCCTTCCTACCTCCCTCGGACCGGGGCCACTCCCAGTTCCCCTGCCCCCCACCCCGCTCTCTCCTCACCGGCCGCTGCCGGGCTTCCCGGATTCCTTTTCTCCCTGGCACCCAAGCCGTCCTGGGTATTCCCAAGACACCCCGCCCTTGAAGCAGGTCGTTACAGGTCACCCCCTCTCTGGGACCCTGGCCGCTTCCGTTTCCTCAGATACCTACTCCTCACACAGTGGCCGCCGGTCAGCGCGCTAGACCGGAGCAGCTGGACGTCCCAAGGGACCTCCTGGCCTGACCCGCGCGGGTCCGGCCGTAGCCTACCTTCCTCGGGAGAACTCCGCAGCCAGAAGCCCAGCCCCTCTCCCCCTAGCCCAGTCAGCGCGAACTCGCCGCCGCCCCCGCCGCCTCCGCCCTGGCCCCGGCCCCGGCCCGGGCCCCGACCCGAAGTCCAGGCCCCCTTCCTCCGGCCTCCGCCTCCGGAGTGCTGAGCTGGAGATTCCGCCCCGCGACGGCCCCCAGATCTCTGACCCGCGTTACCGGCACTCACCTGCCGCTGCCCCCGACCAACTCAAGCGCCACTGCCTCTACCTCGGCCGCCAGTGGCCACCAAGCGCCACCACCTCCCCCATGACAACAGGCCCACCCTCTTTCATACTTCTAACCTATCCATTGGATAGTGGGGCGGCAGCTCTCCTCTCTGATTGGTTTAGTATACCCGCCCGTCATCGCTCTTTACCGCCCCTTTTCCTAAACCCGGTATTCGCCCCCGCCCGGACCTGGAGCGTCCTAGCCCAAGCTTTAGTTGTAATTGGTTGAGGGTTGGGCAATTCGAAGTTATGATAGGCTGCTAAAAGTGTCTGTTAAGCTAACTGGCAAGAGACGTGACGGTTAAGGTTGATTCACGCTTGTGCACAGTTTGGTTGCGCAGTAGAAAGCAAAGGAGGGGCAGACGCTCACATTCGTGGTTACCCGGGAAGGGTTAAGTCTTTGTTGTAGAGTTTTCTCTGTAAACTTTTCCACTTCTCCAGCTCACTTCCTGCAAGGAGAAGCTTATCTCTGCTAGCTTTATTCATAGGGGTAGTACTTACAAAACACCAACATTAGAGGTTGTGTTTAAGAAGTGTTTCCAAGCCCTGGGGAGAAAGGTATCAGAGAGATAAAAATGTCCCCTTCTTTTCTTTGGTCTCAATGCATCCAATTTCATTGAAGTTCTTTCCAGGAGCCTCAATGCTAAAGGGCAAAGCGCAAACTTTCATTTAGCAGAAATCAGTCAACTTCGGTTGCAATTATAAATGTCGTCAATAAACTGAAGTGGCGTATTGAGAGTTCTCCAGCTTCCAGATCCACTCCTGGCTGACCCCTGCCAATTGACCAGACAGCCATTAGCAACTTTTTTTTTTTTTTTTTTTTTCTGTGAGACGGAGTTTCTCTCTTGTTGCCCAGGCTGGAGTGCAATGGTGCTATCTCGGCTCATCGCAACCTACGCCTCCCAGGTTCAAGCGATTCTTCTGCCTTAGCCTCCCGAGTAGCTGGGATTATAGGCATGAGACGGGGTTTCTCCATGTTGGTCAGGCTAGTCTCGAACTCCCAACCTCAGGTGATCCGCCCGCCTCGGCCTCCCAAAGTGCTGGTATTACAGGCGTAAGCCACCGCGCCCGGCCAGCAACTTTCTAATAAGCGGGCCACATTATACCCTTTATGATGCTCTGGAAATGAGAATTCTGCTTTCCCCCACCTCTCACTGCCACTTTGTTTTTCTGTTCAGCAGTTCTTAAATAGCCCTACTAGCTGTGTGTCAGATACTTTAAAAGCTTCTCTCTCTCTCTCTCTTTTTTTTTTCTAAACCTCTTCCTAGCAGTCTAAATTAGGGCCATTGAATGAATTGCCGGGTTGTGTGTGTGTGTGTTTTTTTTTTTTCCTCACTTGGCACAATGCACAAGAATAAATGATTGCATTTTTTATTCACTTGGGTACAAATCACAGTAGGCATTTTTGAGAAATCTAATGTTGCTATAAAAACTCTTGTGCTCCTAGAAATATATTCATCATTAGCTTTTTGTTTTTCCTTTTTTTTCACCCACTTTTCCTGCTCCTAAATAACAAAATGCTGGTCTGATTACTCTTTCAGTTTCTAAATCAGATTTAAATGTACTTTCTCACAACCCCACCTATGATACATATACCCATGGGCCATGAAACAACACCCAGGGATAGTTTAAGACACTGTCAGGCCGTGCGGTGGCTCATGCCTGTTATCCCAGCACTCTGGGAGGCCGAGCCGGGCAGATCACCTGAGGTCAGGAGTTTGAGACCAGCCTGACTAACATGGTGAAACCCCTGTCTCTGCAGATGGTGCCACTGCACTCCAGCCTGGGCAACAGAGTGAGACTCTGTCTTAAAAAAAAAAAAAAAAAAAGACACTGTCAAGGAGGCATTCACCTCAAGGATGTGGACTTTGGAAATGTGCTTTGTCTCTTTCTTCTTTCTGCTAACCCTTTGTCTCATATTTCTTCTATTTACTAACCTCCTTGTTCTTTGCAGAGCAAGCTACAAAGAGTCTAAAACTGTATGGTTTATTATTCAGAAAAATATTGTCTTTTTTCTAGCCTATATTTTTAGTCAAGTTTAAATAAAGTACATACTTCTATCACCAGACTAAGCAGAAATTATTCCTCCAGTAACTATACATAACAATAAAGTGCCTTTTCCTAGTTATTTTCCGGAACTTTCCTCCCCCTCCTCTCTTCCTCACCTTCCAATTTAGAAATAACCTCCCATTCAATTCAATGACTCACAAAAAGCCTGTGAAAGGAAAGTGGAAAAGCCAAAATAACTTAGAGATGTCTGAATCATTCAGCTGAAGGAAAGATCAGACATTGACCATGATAAGATAGACGCCAAGACATAAGGCAAGCCTGAGCTAACATCCCATAACATGTGAAGTAATGCAAATGTGAAGATGCCCCAAGAAAAAGCAAATACCAATATGTCCTTTTACACAGCCTTTTAATATATCACCAGCAGCTTGCTTCTCTCTAGTCTTGGCAGTGTGCCATGCTACCAATTTTAGAGCAAGTTAGAAGACAATTAATGTCCTGACAGATAGGAAACAATAACGTCATAGGAGGACATGACCATTATTATGGTACTTTGGGTAATAATGGCTCTTGCACAGCCATAGTGACTAGGTGCCATAGAAAACATAGAATTAGGCCAGCCTTGCTAAGAGGACTTGCCATCTAAGTTGAAGAATGCAGCGAAATTACTATCACAAAACTGGGTGGAAAATTGTCACAAAAGTCAGCCGCTATTTCATACACTAAAAAAAAAAAAAAAAAGAAAGCATGTATAAATGCTTTTGCTCATATACACACATCTATCATTCCTATTCTTTGTGAATATCAGTTAAGAAAGGACATATAAAATAAATATGTTACAACCCAGTAAGTAGTGGGAAAACCTTAAGGAAGGTTTCAAGGAACATGCCTTGAAATAACAGAAGGCTATTGTGTTATCAAAGACTGTGCAGTACCGGAGGGGTTATTGCTTGTATCCCTACATTTTGCTTTCACGTGCACAAGGTAACCCTATCATGTAATTACTCCATCCAGCTTTTTTCTTTTCTTTCCTGTGTTTTTTGCTTCTCTACCATTCTCAGGGCTCCCTCTCAGAAAACAAGAACACTGGAGTCTGGGAGTCTGCAGCTTCCTGTTGCATGGCTGGCTGTGGAGGTCCTGCAGATGGTATCTGTTCAGAGCCACTTGGGCACGACCAAGATGGCAGGTACATTCGGGGCAAAAATAGCATTTATAATCCCAATTAAGCAGAAAATAGAGGACTCAGAGTGATGTCCAATATCTGAGGAGTGATATAGTGTGCCTTGGGCTTTCCTGTACACTAATGCTGTTTCTCCTGCTCTTTCATAATGTCACTTTTCAAGGGAAAAGAATCCAAGTCTCTTTCCATTTCTATTTTAGCCCACAGGGGCAATCTCACTAGGGAAAGGATCCATTTTTTGCTTTTGGATTTTCTTCCTCTGGATTCTACACACGATTCCAATTCCAACTAGATTAGAGAAATAAACAACCGGTGGAGAAGAAAATCGCTCAGATAGCAGACAAGGGCCAGAACTGCCTGCCACTAGCAGTTGGAGGCAAGCCAAAATATTTGATAAGAGGTAGCTTCCTGAGTTAGGGATCCCTGAGGGTGGAGGCTGACAAAGATGAAGGGATTAGAGAGAAGGGGAGGGAAAAGGAGGGAAGAGGAGGAGATGAGGGGGCAGGAGAGAAAAGGGTAAGAAAAGCTAGAAAAACAGTCAAAAAACCCAATCAGAGTGCTGAGCCAGCTTACAGTCCTGCCTTGCCTACCCCCTATCCCCACCCATGTGGACTTTACACTAGGTTGCATAATTACACCAGCAAAGTGCAGCCTCTGCCACTGGTTAAAAGGGAAAGCGTGCCAGGCTCCAGCCTATGGGACCGTTGTTCTGCTGCCACCTGGAAATCCTCCCAGAGCTCAAAGCCTGCTGCTCTGGGCAAAGCTGACAAGGAAGGACAGATTCAGCAGCCAACCAAGGAGCATACCTTCATTTGATTTCCTTAAGGCAAAAGCACTGGCTAAACAAAGGGAGACTATCTGGGAGAAGGTGTTTTCACCCTTTCAAGCTGGGGTGCTTTCACCACCGGGAAGTGCCACGCTGCTTTCCACGCTGGAACAAGGTACTGTGGTTTCAAAGTTCAAGGCTCTGTTTCAGGGATGGGAAGGAAAAAAAAATCAGTGAAAGAAGGTGTTCTGGTCTCTCAGGCAGAACCATTTGTTATTTGATTCCAGAGCTCATGTAATTTTTAAATACCACACTATGCATTTTCATTACTAAATGCATTCATTTTCATCCTCAAGAAAAGTGTATGCCCCCTTCCGCCTGCTTTACATAATATGGCTTGAGCGCTTGTAAAAATGGATGGGCTGTAGCTCTGAGTTCTGCCATTGTGCTATTGACTGGAGCTCCTGGTTACTATCACCAGATCTATGGGTGGATCAGCCATTCTTCTGCAGCAGGGAGTGGACCGACTCAAAGCACTTAGCACCATTTAAACTTTTGTCCATCTCTGTTTTTATGCACACAAAGAGTTTCCTGGAAACATGGCTATCCTCCAAGGATTTCAGAGAGTAGAATTCTTCCAGAACTGCAGTGTCCCAATCACTTGGAACCTCATGAGAAAGCAGACTTAAACTCAGACCCTAGAACCTCGAACTTAGTATGTTCCAAAAGCTTTGGCTCTGCCATTTACCAACTGTGTAATTTGGGGAACATTGATTCATCACCCTAAAGCTTCATTTTCTTCATCTATAAAATGAGATACATATTAGCTATCTTGTCTTGCATAACAAATTACCCCAAAACTCAGTAGCTTAAAAGAACGTTTATCGTCTCAGTTTCTGTGGGTCAACTCTCTGGCATTGGGTCTCTTATAAGACCACAGTCATCTCAAGCTCAGTTGGGACAGATCTGCTTCCTGCCTCACTCACCTCGTTATTGTTGGCAGGACTCACTTCCTAAGGCCTTGGTTCCCCAGGAGCTGTTGGCCAGAAGCCTCCCTCGGTGCCCTGCCTCATGGGCCTCTTCGTTGAGCATCTCACAACGTGGCAGCTTACTTCATCAGTGCAAGCAAGCAAGAGCAAGAGAGAGGACTCACCAGAGACAGTAATAGCAAAACAGAAGGCACAGTCTTTCGTAATCCAATCACAGATGTGACATCCCATCACTGTTGCCACATCCTGTGAGTTAGAAGTAAGTCATTAGGTCCAGCCCACACTCAAGGAGATTACACAAGGATGTAAAGACCAGCAAGAGGATCATTGGGAGCTATTTTAGAAGCAGCCTACTCTAAGATAATAATAACATCTAGGGTTTGTTTAAAATTTAAATTAGAGACTGCATGGTGGCAGCTACTTGGGAGGCTGAGGTGGGAGGCTCACTTGAGGCCAGGGGTTTGAGGCCAGCTTGGGCAACATGGTGAGACTCCTCCATCTCTTAAAAAAAAAAAACAAATATATGTGTATATTTTTAAATATTCAAAAATCAAATTAGAGAATATGTTCAATTCGGGCCAGCATATGTTATGTAATATATAACTGTTATATATAATAACTATTATTACCATTAATATTATTATTGACTATATAATGGCTGGTTTTCTCCCCTAGCTCCTAGAAGGAACCCTTTTATGAGGAGTAAATGAAATAATATACATAATTCAGGACCTGACATGTAGTAAATGCTCAATAATCATTAGTTATTGTTAACATTATTAATAGCCGGGCACGGTAGCTCACGCCTGTAATCCCAGCACTTTGGGAGGCCAAGGCGGGCGGATCACAAGGTCAGGAGATCGAGACCATCCTAGCTAACACGGTGAAACCCCATCTCTACAAATACAAAAAAATTAATTGGGCATGGTGGCGGACACCTGTTGTCCCAGCTACTCAGAAGGCTGAAGCAGGAGAATGGCATGAACTCAGGAGGCGGAGCTTGCAGTGAGCAGAGATCACGCCACTGCACTCCAGTCTGGGCAACAGAGCGAGACTCCATCTCAAAAAAAAAACCAACATTATTAATAAACATGTGATATTTGATATTCTCTCCAAGCTACTGGAAGGAAATACTATGAACTCTCATTACTTTTCCAGGGTGGCCTTATTTCCATATGTTTTGTTCAGTTTTTCCATTAGCACCCTATACTCACCAGAGCACAATTCTAGATTTGGGGTTCATAAAATATGACCACCAAATCCATAACACAGTCTAATTTCCTGCCTGCCCTATACCAAGAAGGGTATGCACAAAACCAGCAAAATGGGCTAATTATGGCAGCACCTCCTATATGCACAAAAGTCTGAGCCTGGCCCCAACCAGAATCCAGACAGAAGGGATTGTGCCTGGGAGAATGAACAGAGACTTCGCTATGTGACCTTTGTCCCTTTTAAAATATGGTCATCATTGTGCAGTCTACTCAGTCAATCCTCAACTAAGAATGAGAGAAAGAGGGACCTACACAGGCCCTACAGATGGGATAAGGGTGTCCAAGAAGACATTTTCACACCTGGGTTGGAAGTAATAAGAACCCATAAAAATAAAGAGCAATTTTGCAATTAGAAAGTTGGAAGAAGAGAGTCCAGTTTGCAACATGAAAGAAAGATCATAAGAGGCTGGAGTCACCCTTTAGGGCTGGGTTGAAGCTGTCTTCCTTATAAAGGTGGAGGATATTGAGGGTTGGCCTGTGGCCAGGAAAAATGAGGAACTATAATCAAGAAAACCCCATTATTTTTGCTTTGAGTCATTTCTCAGGGCTCACCCATAATTATTACATAAGAAAGACAGAAAAAACAAAAACCTCCTAAAGTGTAAATGATCCTTAAACTAAAAACACCGTAGAAATACAAAGATCCAGGCCGGGTGCGGTGGCTCATGCCTGTAATCCCAGCTACTTGGGAGGCTGAGGCAGGAGAATCACTTAAACCCGAGAGGCGGAGGTTGCGGTGAGCCGAGATAGCACCATTGCACTCCAGCCTGGGCAACAAGAAAGAAGAAACTCTGTCTCAAAAAAAAAAAAAAAAAAGAAAAAAGAAAAGAAAAGAAAAGAAAAAGAAAAGAAAGAAATACAAAGATCCAAGTTTTTGCAACTTATCTGTCTCTCTCTCTCTCTGTCTCTGTTTCTTCTTCTCCCACCCATATTTGCACATGTTCTTTCATTTCTTTTCCGCACAGAAGAAAACTACCCTTACAAGGAAATGCCTTAGGATCCTCCAGGCTGGAATTGTTTTCAGATCAGGAATCATCTTCTCTAGCAGTCTCCACTGCAGCTCTACAGGATTAGAGCTCAGTATTCACAGATAATGACAGTTTACACCTCTCCCTCTAAATCAAGTCACCTGTGCAGCTGTGATTTAAAGAGTTCGGATGATTTTCTGAGCTGCACTAGCCCTGGCCCTTTCCTCTCCCGAAATGTTCCCAAACATTACCAGATTTGTACACAGAAAGGCTCAAAGCAGAAGTTGCTGGGAAAGTTCTGTAAACATGAAGGGGAGATGTACACCAATATCAAGTTCCTCTTCCTGTGGCTCTGGTTTTCTCTCCTTCCTATTCTCTATTCTGTGTTTCCTCTGTGTCTGGGACAGAGGAGACTTGTATGTTTCCATACCTGTTAATAGCCAGAGAAAACTTTGTTCGGTCCCTTGGCAGGTTAGCGGATTTTAGAAGGGAAAGACAGGGTAAAGAGATGAGGACTCGCCCCCAGGAAGTCTGACTATACAATAGGAATGGTGTATTTATTTATTCAGCCCTTTCCTACACTGCAGTCATTTCATTTCACCCTCAGGATGTGTATTTAGTGGTAAGCTTTCTTTCTTTTCCTGTTAGTTTCCTGCAAAAGGACATCAGTGTCTTCCTCATTGGAGCAGCTGATAAGAAGGATGTTGTTGCTCAAATAGAGACAGAAAAACATATTTCCTATCACAGACCCAGGCCATCCCAAGGGCATGGAGAATTAGACCAGGTTGTGGAAATAATAGAAGAACCTGATTTTCATGCCTATTTCCCTGGTGCCATCTTCCTCCCTGAAATACTCTGCAATAATTACACCTTCCACTTAAGTAGGATTTCACACTTTTCCAAAGTAGCATCACGTTGTACGGAAGTAGAGTTGGCTGCACTGTAGCTGGCATAGCCTATTAGTTACTTTGGAGGGTTTATATGAAGAGGCAACTTTGGGTTTAACTTTAAGTTTTGGGGAACTCATACAAATAGCATAGGTTTACCCTAAGTTGGATTCCATTTGCTAGCTCCTGCCTCTCCTACAGATCTCATCTTCAAAGTTACTATTATAGGGGAGGCTTCCTGTTATCCCTCTCCCAGCCACATTGAGTTGGGTGCCCCTCTTATACACACTGCATTTCCACTTTGGATACACATATCCCGTGGGTAAACTTGCTCAGTGCCTAGCCATCCAGCAACATGTCGGCACTGTAATACCAGGGACAACAACCTTCCTGCTCATGGCTGCCTAGCATAGGGCCTGGCCCACAGTAGTTCACTAAATATTTAGTGAATGAATGAGTGAGTCAGGAATTGTCTCTAGGAGTAGCCTTGCCACCTGACACAATCACTTATTTTGGGGTAGTGCTCTGGGAGTTATAAAAAAGGCCTGTGCTAATTATCACATAATGATCACCGGTGGTTATAGTATTTAGTAGGCAAAAGCACAGTGGTGGAGTATGACTAAATAAAGGTCTCCTCCAGGTGGGGGGCTATCCCCGCACTCTGAATTTGGAACCCCACTGCCCATCTCTCTTGGACTCCTGTGGACAGGGTCATTCCTTTGGGAAATTCTTTTCGGAGTTGCCAACACTGGGGAACAGGGAGAATTAAGCTCCATTTCCCCAAACTCAATGAAGTCTTTCTGATATGAAAATTAAATTAAAGAACAAGGCCAGTGGTGGCCCTCTGTTGCTTTCCTTTCAGCCTCTGAGACAGATTTCCCCATCAAGGGTCTGCGCTGAGTCATCCCGCCTCCAGCGGAAACAAGTCAGCAGCACCCTGAGGATGGGTGATGGAGGTAAAGACTCATCCTGCTAATCTCCTCCTCCCGCGGAGGCCAAGGTTCATGGTCTTGGCCCCCTCCCTGGGAACAAAAAGGCAACCCAAGAGAAAAGACTCTTCCTTCCCACTCCTCTCTCTCTTACAAGCTCATGGTCTGTGGCTCCTCTTTCTTCTGCCAATGGAAGTTGAGGATAGAGAGAGAGGAGGAGGAAGAAGAAACCAAAGGGCACAGGACTGTACTTTGCTGGCTGGGGGGAGGTGGGACACATGGGTGGGGGGTATGAATTGGGATGAAGGATGACAAGACATGAAGAATCCTTGGAGGTTCTCCAACAGTTCTCACATACAGAACAGCTAAGGCACAGCCCAGTTGCGGAGACACCAGGGAACCCAGAAATGTAAATAGTAGGAGGTGATGACAGCAAAGAAGCAGGCAGATCTGATACACAGGCCCCTACACAGAGCTACGCCCTGTGGGAGAACCACAAACTGCCTAAGACTGGGTAGCAAAGAGAGAGAGAGTGGGCGTTCAGTGTGAGACCTTGAATCAGAGGCCCACACTCTATATCTAGCTCAGTCTCCAATTTGTGGGGAGGACCGGGGTGAAAGATGAATGTCAGAGATGTGGCTTCATCAGCTGCCTATGGGATGGGCACATGTTTAGGAGATACTTTGAAATCTCTAGATGAAAGGAAATGCCAGAAAAAGCTATCATTACTTTGAGGGCTGATCATAGAGCAGCCGGAGCATCTTTGAGCTCCTATATTGGAATCAGAGTCTACAGTATTTTCATCTTGGGCGGACCAATTCCTGAAGACCAGTTTTTTAATAGCATCAATTGAGAACAGGGTCAATTGTGAGGTCCCTTAGGAATACAACCAGAAATCTCATCACTGGAGTATAGAAATTTCCAACCAGGCTCCAGCCAGTTATCTATGCAGACTGATTCTAGCCAGGCCTAACTTGCCTAGGGTGATGATCTACAGGCTATGACCTGATGACACTTCTCCCTTTCTCTCCTCTCTTTCTCTCTTTCACGTGTGCATAAGGCAACTTAGAAACATTAATTCACCAAAGAATACTTGGAGATTCCCAAATGATCACCCCAATTGTGGCTCTTCATCTCCAAACACTTAGCCTTTTTTTTTTTTTTTAAAGGAATGTGATGTGCTTAAACCAGATCTTTTTTCTTTCTATTTGGCAGGTACATAGGCACATGACCCTAGTATTTTCCTTCTCTATTTATTCCCTTCTATACTTTACCACAAATACTTCCACTTGACTCCCTCTTCTGGTCTCTGTTCTATGAACCATCTAGATTATCATTCCAAATGAATACATTTGTGTTTGAGCCCTTAAATGCAAGAATATTTCCCTTCCTGGTCTCTCCAAAGCTAACAGGCTAACTAGACTCAGAACAGGACTTTAATCTAAGCTGGCAATAAGTGCTTACCTGTCCTGAATGACCTAAGCTGCAATCATCCTGGGTCACAATCATCAGAGGAACAGATATTATTTTTCTCCTATTGCACGAAGTGGACAAAGGTTGTCTAGATGGTGCAGAATGGATCTCGATAAAGCCAGAGCTCCTTGTGAAATAAGAAAAATCTCAAGAATGGGCATGTGACTGCTAAGCAAGCTCTGTGGGAGAGCTCAACCTATAATATTACAAGTGGCATGCGTAAGATCAACATGAACTCATCTCTCAAATCCCCAAATCTTAGGTTTCAATGTCTCTTACAAAGTTCCAGGAGAGTTAAGCTTAGGACCAATATAAAGGAAGACTACTCCAAACTGTAGGTAGTAAATGCATGGCACTCATTACCCAGGGAGGGAATACAATCAGAATACAGAAAAAAAATCAGGGCAACATTTATGAATTGCAGAGCCATATATGAGTAAAACTGGATGGATCTTGAACTACTCATTTTCAACCCTAGTCCTATGTGAAAGTCTCATGTCTCTCTCCTAGGTCCTAGTATTCCAACTCAGTAGGTTGGAGTGGGGTCTGTATATAGTTGCAAAGCTCCCCCAGGTGATTCTGATTTATAACCAGGTTTGAGGACCACTACTTGAATAACTTGAATAACCTTTAACCTGCTGGATAGGTCTGACCCAGCCTGGTCATCCTTACGGTCCTAATTGTCAAACTGCTTGGTTGATGAATGACAACTCAAACAGATACAGCTGTATACCTGCAACATAAGAACAAACTCCAGAGCAGTCATTAGACCCTGAATCTACAGATCAAATCAAGCAGTATAATAATGCTCTGGTCCCTGGCTCATTTAGAGTCTTCTCCAAGATCTCTAAGTCTTTCCCACCTTAGGGATGAATCAGCGGAGGCACTTAAAACAAGGTACTACTTTTGGAAGGAAATATTCAGATTTGCTTATAAGAATAAGATGCAGACTTCTTTTTTCTTTTCTTCTCTTTTTTTTTTTTTTTTGAGATGGAATCTCTCTTTGTTCCCCAGGCTGGAGTGCAATGGCATGATCTCGGCTCACTGCAGTCTCCACCTCCTGGGTTCAAGCGATTTTCCTGCCTCAGCCTCCTGAGTAGCTGAGATTACAGGCAGGCACCACCACGCCCAGCTAATTTTTGTACTTTTAGCAGAAATGGGGTTTCCCCATATTGACCAGGCTGGTCTCGAACTCCTGACCTCAAGTGATCCACCCACCTCAGGCTCCCATATTGCTGGGATTATAGGCATGAGCCGCCGCGCCTAGGCAGATGCAGGCTTCTTTACATATTTCTGTCACGGCTCTTTTTGCACAATGTTTAACACAGTACTAGGAATTCGTTTATTCAGTAAACATTTATTGATTAAAAATTAGTTACATACCCAATGCCAATAGTTTGTTGCTGAGGATATAAATAATTAAATAAGGCAGTGATAAAACAGACCAGATGTGATCTCTAGCTTCTTAGTTACCTAATAAGCTCTCAAAAATATTCTTTTATCATAGTGGCTGGATACAGTGTAAAACTCTACCTAAGGGTCATCCTACCCTCTTAGGAACACAACATTTAAGTTCTTTCGAAGACCGAGCTACCCTGGGGCCAAGAACAACTATAAAAAAAGTGCCTACCTTTTCTTCTCAAATGTACCTACAAGTGAAGGTTAAAAATGAACTTCTGGCTGGGCACGTTGGCTCACGCCAGTAATCCCAGCACTTTGGGAGGCCAAGGCAGGCAGATCCTGAGGTCAGGAGTTCAAGACCGGCCTGAGCAACATGGAGGAAACCCCCGTCTCTACTAAAAATACAAAATTAGCCGGGCGTGCTGGTGCATGCCTGTAATCCTAGCTACTCAGGAGGCTGAGGCAGGAGAATCGCTTGAACCCAGGAGGCAGAGGTTGCAGTGAGCCAAGATTGCGCCATTGCACTCCAGCCTGGGCAACAAGATCGAAACTCTGTCTCAAGAAAAAAAAAAAAAGAACATCTGGAGAATGAGAACTATGCTATATTCATCTTTGAATTTCCAGTACCAGGTACAGTACCTTGCACATAGTAAGTGTTCAGTGTTTTAAATTTTTTTTTTTTTTTTTTGGAGACAGAGTCCCACTCTGTCACAGGCTGGAGTGCAGTGGCGCGATCTCAGCTCACTGCAACTTCTGCCTCCCAGGTTCAAGCAATTCTCTTGCCTCAGCCTCCCGAGTAGCTGGGGCTACAGGCATCTGCCACCACACCCGGCTAATTTTTTGTATTTTAGTAGAGATGGGGTTTCACCATGTTGCCCAGGCTGGTCTCAAACTTCTGATCTCAGGCAATCCACCTGCCTCGGCCTCCCAAAGTGCTAGGATTACAGGCGTGAGCCACCGCGCCTGGCCCAGTGTTTTTAAATTTTAATTAATTAATTAATTTTGAGACAGGGTCTGGCTCTGTCACCCACGCTGGAGTGCAGTGGCCCCATCTCGGCTCACTGTAACCTCTGCCTCCTGAGCTCAAGTGATCCTCCCACCTCAGCCTCTGAGTAGCTGGGACTGCAGGCATGTGCCATCATGCCTGGCTAATTTTTGTATTTTTTTTTTTTTTTGGTAGAGATGGAGTCTCACTATGTTGCCTAGGCTGGTCTTGATCCTCCCACCTCGGCCTCCCAAAGTGAAGTAATTGCAGGCATGAGCCACCGCACCCAGCCTGTTCAGTGTTTTTGAATGAGTGAATGAATGAATGAAGCTGGAATCCCAGTTCTGCCACTAACTGTGTATCTTTGTACAAGTCACAGATTATTTGTAACCCTTTTTTCATGACTGGGATAACAACTACCTTGCTTATTTGTTGTTATGTGACTGGAGGTCATGTGTTCTAAGAATCACTGGCAGCTGGGCATGGTGGCCTGTAATCCCAACATTTTGGGAGGCTGAGATGGGAGGATCACTTGAGCCCACAAGTTTGAGACCAGCCTGGGAAACAGAGGGAGACCTCATCTCCACAAAAAAATTAAAAACTAGCTGGGTGCGGTGAGCGCGTGCCTATAGTCCCAGCTACTGGGAAGGCTGAGGAAAGAGGATCATTTTTGAGCCCAGGAAGTCAAGCCTACAGTGAGCCATGATTGCACCACTGCACTCCAACCTGGGCGACAGAGTGAGACCCTGTCTCAAAAAAAAAAGAAAGAAAATTGGCACTCTGCCTGGCATTCAGCAGGTGCTCAACAAATGGTTGTGGTGATGCTGTATGGTTGTTACTCTGAGAACGGAGAAGCAGAAGCTTCCAAGAACCAACTTGTATGGTCAAAGTGACATCTAGTGGTAAAATTTTAGAACACACACCAAAAGCACAGTCAATTGCTGGTTTGAAATTTAAATTGAGGAATGACTAGGAACTAACAGGGCACCTGATTTACATAAGTACAGTAACATTATTTAATTCTCACCAGTGATTTTTTTTTTTTTTTGAAACGGAGTCTCACTCTATCGTCCAGGCTGGAGTACAGTGGCGCGATCTTGGCTCACTGCAACCTCCGCCTCCCAGGTTCAAGCAATTCTCCTGCCTCAGCCTCCCATGTAGCTGGGACTACAGATGCTGGCCACCACGCACGGCTAATTTTTGTATTTTTAGTAGAGATGGGGGTTTCACCATGTTGATCAGGCTGGTCTCGAACTCCCGACCTTAGGTGATCCTCCTGCCTCAGCCTCCCAAAGTTCTAGGATTACAGGCGTGAGCGACCGCACCTGGCTTCACGAGTGATTTTCAATCCTGGATGCAGATTAGAATGACGTGTGAAGCTTTAAAAATCTACTGGTGTCTGGATCTCACCCTTGGAGACACCAATTTAACTTGCAGGAGGTGTGACTCAGGCTGTCACATTTTTAAACTGCGATTTTAACATGCAGCCTGGTTGGGAACCACATGCAAGAGACCCATGAGATAGTCTTCTTCTCGTTTTACAAATGATGAAAGTAAAAGTCAGAAGGATAAAGTAATTTTCACAAAGTCACACATTTATTATTAGCAGTAGGTTATTTGAACTTGCATCTACCATTTTCCCACAATACCACGTTGCTTTGCAGAGGCTTTTGGAAGTCTGATGTGCTCCACTTAGCTTCTGTCTAGGGGAGTCTCAAACTCAGAAGCGTTAGGAAATTGCATGGTGCTGTGAGCTGAAGCCCTCCAAACAACAGTTTGGTGTTGATGGGATAGTGTGGTCTAATGAAGGCACTAACTGCCTGATCCTCTCTCTGGATTCTTTTTTTTTAAGACAAGGTCTTGCTTTGTTGCCTAGGCTGGAATGCCGTGGCATGATCACAGCTCACTACAGCCTTGAACTCCTGGGCTCAGCTGGGACCAGAGGTGCATGCCACCATGCCCAGCTATCTTTGTATTTTTTGTAGAGATGGGGTTTTGCCATGTTGCTCAGGCTGGTATTTTTATGTTTTGTAGAGACGGGGGTCTCCCTATGTTGCTATGAACATTCATGTCAATTTCAATTTTTTAAAAATTATTTCAAAAGAAACTCATTGTAATTGTTTGTGTTAAAAAATGATAACTTGCCCAGGTGCAGTGGCTCATGCCTGTAATCTCAGCACTTTGGGAGGCCAAGGCGAGTGGATCACTTGAGGTCAGGAGTTTGAGACCAGCCTGACCAACATGGCAAAACCCCGTCTACACTAAAAATACAAAAATTAGCTGGGCATGGTGGTGGGTACCTGTAATCCCAGCTACTCAGGAGGCTAAGGCAGGAGAATGGCTTGAACCTGGGAGGTGGAGGTTGCAGTGAGCCAAGACTGTGCCACTGTACTCCAGCCTGGGCGACACAAGACTCTGTCTCAAAAACAAACAAACAAAAACCTTAAGCATACACATTAAAAATCTACCAAAACTTTTTAAAATTGAGTTTTGGCACTTCATTTTTAAAAATATAACTGGGGTCTCAAAAAGGAGTAACGAGGCCGGGCGCGATGGCTCACGCCTATAATCCCAGCACCATGGGAGGCCGAGGCCGGCAGATCATGAGGTCAGGAGATTGACACCATCCTGGCTAACACGTTGAAACCCCGTCTCTACTACAAAAATACAAAAAATTAGCCGAGCTTGGTGGCGGGCCCCTGTAGTCCCAGCTACTCGGGAGGCTGAGGCAGGAGAATGGCGTGAACCCGGGAGGCGGAGTTTGCAGTGAGCCGAGATCGTGCCACTGCACTCCAGCCTGGGCAACAAAGACTCCGTCTCAAAAAAAAAAAAAAAAAAAAAAAAGAGTAACCAGCTTGCTCTTGACCTCTGAAAGGCTCTGTTGCTGCCTCCAACAAGAAAAGCCCATTTTATCCAATTAGACAACAAATCCCCAAAGTCAGAAAAACCACGTGATATTTGCTGGCATATCCATGATGACTACTAATTATGTATTTGGTAAATGTTTGCTGACAATATAGCCCATCAAGAAATGATGGGAGGCCGGGCGAGGTGGCTCACGCCTGTAATCCCAGCACTTTGGGAGGCCGAGGCGGGCGGATCACGAGGTCAGGAGATCGAGACCATCCTGGCTAACACAGTGAAACCCCGTCTCTGCTAAAAACACAAAAAAATTAGCTGAGCGCGGTGGCAGGCGCCTGTAGTCCCAGCTATTCGGGAGGCTCAGGCAGGAGAATGGCGTGAACCCGGGAGGCGGAGCTTGCAGTGAGCCGACATCGCGCCACTGCACTCCAGCCTGGGCGACAGAGCCAGACTCCGGCTCAAAAAAAAAAAAAAAAAAAAAAGATGGGAAGGCTGGGTGCGGGTGGCTCATGCCTGTAATCCCAGCACTTTGGGAGGCTGAGGCAGGTGGATCACTTGAGGCCAGGAGTTTGAGACCAGCTTGGCTAACATGGTGAAACCCTGTCTTTACTAAAAAAATATTAATATTAGCCGGGTGTGGTGGCTCACACAGGTAATCCCAGCTACTCAGGAGGCTGAGGCGCGAGAATCACTTGAAAACCAGAGGTGGAGGTTGTAGTGAGCCAAGGTCATAACACTGCACTCCAGTCTGGATGAAAGAGCGAGAAACTCTGTCCCTTAAAAAAAAAGAAAACAAAGAAATGATGGGACAGGGTGAGGGTAGGGGAGAGGAAATTCTAACACAGGTGATTTCCTTCTGACCCACAACCCCCACTTTGCTGTTGGTCTGGCTGACGTGGTTCACAAGGGGGATGGTAACTTAGATGGAACGTGTAAACCAATGGAAACATGAACCTTGATTGAAAAATGAAAAATTTCTCTAGATCCTGACTAAGGCAAGGTCAGCATGTTTCTCCCACATGCTGGTCCAAACAGAAGCTTTCTTTTACGGCAGGATAGGGATCAGTCCCTTGTCTAATCAACCAGTGGAGTTAATGAGTATGGCAGAAGGAAGGGAGAGGAAAGATGACAAAAGGAGCAATGAAAAGGAAACACCTGACACATTTATCTTTGTGAGAAGTGAGAATCACCTGTAAATGCCTCAGCCAGGAAGGACAGGTAGGGCCCTTTATAAAAGGATTTGTGGAACTTCTGGAGTATTTTGTCATTATAACATTTTGTTAATAGATTAACAAGGCTGGGCGCAGTAGCTCACACCTATAATCCTAGCACTTTGGGAGGCCAAGGCAGGCGGATTCACTTGAGGTCAGGAGTTCGAAACCAGCTTGGCCATCATGGTGAAACCCCGTCTCTACTAAAATTACAAAAAATTAGCTGGGCATGTGGTATGCGCCTGTAATCCCAGCTACTCAGGAGGCTGGGGCGGAGAATCTCTTGAACCTGAGAGGCGGAGGTTGCAGTGAGCCGAGATCATGCCACCCCGACTCCAGCCTGGACAACAGAGCGAGACTCCATCTCAAAAAAAAAAAAAAAAAAAAGATTAACAAAAACATGGCTGGGCACAGTGGCTCAAGCCTGTAATCCCAGCACTTTAGGAGGGCAGATCATTTGAGCCCAGGAGTTTGGGACTGGCCTAGGCAGCATAGCGAGACCCCATCTCTACAAAAAATATAAAAATTAGCCAGGCGTTGTGGTGCATGCCTGTGGTCCCAGCTACTGAGGAGGCTGAGGTGGGAGAGTCACTTGAGCCCAGAAGGTTGAGGTTGCAGTGAGCCAAGATCTTACCACCACACTTCAGCATGGGCAACAGAGTGAGACCCCGTCTCAAAAACAACAACAACAACAACAACAAACACAAAACACAAAGAAACAAAACCGTGATAGTAAGGAGAGCAGATGCCTGCTTTTCTGTTGTGAAGAAACTTGGGAACCACTGTGGAAACAGGAGAGGGGAAAGGAGCTGTCATGGACCCTTGCTGAGCTCCTTCCTTCCCCCAGCCTTTTCTCCCATCCCTCCCCTTACCTGGAAGGTCCTCTCTCCTCCTCTCTGCCTAAATCTTGTGCCATCTCAGATCCAACACAAATTCCCATGTCTCCATGACGACTCCTGCCCCCCTTCCCTGAACTCCTACAGCACATCTGCTGTATACCACACAATTCTCACTAAATTAAGCATATTGTCTTTGAAAGGTTCTTGTGTGTCTGTCTTCTAAAACCCCTTGTAAACTCCTCGAGGACAAGGGCCATTTCTTCTGCTGCTGCTCCGTCTCCCACAGTGCTGATGGCCTAATAGACCCTCTGTATGGTCTTGCTGGCTGACTGACTGAAGGGTTCAGTTAGGCTCTCTTGCTCCTGCCAGCAAAGCAAAGAGTGCACAATAAAGTCCTTTCACTATGAAATGACAAATTCAAAGATAGAGGGGCTGAGAAAGTGCTCATACAGAATTATTCATTGTCTTGAATGTCTCATAGTAGCCAGATCCCAGAATCCTCAGGTTAGATGCGGAAGTAACTTTGATCCATGTGATAGTGCTTTTTAGATTAGTATTTCACTTAAAGGGAAAGTGTAAAGTAATACACATTCCATGGGTTACATGAGTCAAGGAAAGGGAAGAGTTTCTGTTACGAAGTTAGCTCATATCCCCAAAGACCCCCCCACCACCGTGTTTCATAGCAGTCAGGAATTTATAGAAGAAAATATTGCGTGCGCTCTCTCACTCTCTCTCTCTCTCTCTCCATATATATATATATATATATATATATATATATATATATATATATATTTTTTTTTTTTTTTTTTTTTTTTTTTTAGATGGTGGAGCCTTACTCTGTCGCTCAGGCTGGAGTGCAGTGGCGAGATCTCGGCTCAATGCAACATCCGCCTCCCAGGTTCAAATGATTCTCCTGCCTCAGTCTCCGGAGTAGCTGGGATTACAGGTGCCTGCCACCATGCCCCGCTAATTTTTGTATTTTTAGTAGAGACGGGGTTTCACTATGTTGGCCAGGCTGGTCTCGAAATCCTGACCTCAGGTGATCTGCCTGCCTCGGCCTCCCAAAGTGCTGGGATTACAGGCATGAGCCTCCATGCCCGGCCTTGCTTTTTATATTTTTGACAATAACAGAGCCACGGGAAGAAAGGATGTGATTAGGGGAAGAAAAAAGGGGAGAGGTTCATGTTGTCTTTATTTTCATTAATGAATGTCTCAAACATTTTAGGGTATAAATAGCAATCAGTATTTAGGAAAGGAAGCTGGATTCACACTACTTGGAAATCTGGGTCTTTACTCATCCATGGCAATTTTTGGGTATCATGTGCTCTTACAGAATCTCATCTTATGATATAGATTCAGTTTACAGCTATTCTATGATGCTTGAGTATTTCAAATATTAAGTACATTGAGGCTCATGAGAATTGCTAATCTGCCGTGTGAAACTGCAGAGTTGTTTCCCAAGGGTAGAGATGCATTCACATCCACCCACATAGTACAAAGGGGGAAATGATTACGCTGGCCTGGATTTTTTGTAATAGTCCCGTGACATGGCTTCCACATTGCTCTGTGGGCTGTGGTTAAAGAACCTAATCTAGAACAAGACAAGACTTGTAGATTTAAAAAGTCACCTAAGCTGTTTCTTTCCTAGACAAATGGGATTCTAGTTTGGGTTTTATTTTATTTTATTATTTTTTGAGACAGTCTCATTCTGTCATCCAGGCTGGAATGCTGTGGCGCAATCTCGGCTCACTGCAAACTCTGCCCCCTGGGTTCAAGCTATTCTCCTGCCTCAGCCCACCTAGTAGCTGGGATTACAGGTGTGTGCCACCACACTCAGCTAATTTTTTTGTATTTTTAGTAGAGACGAGGTTTCACCATGTTAGCCAGGATGGTTTCAAACTCCTGGCCTCATGTGATTCACCCACCTTGGCCTCTCAAAGTGCTGGGATTATAGGCATAAGCCACAGTGCCCAGCCCTAATTTGAGTTTCAGAGGGCAATTTGTACCGTTTGGAAAAGATGCTGGATCCTTCAATATTACTGCTTTAGAAAGATTTGGAACTCTGACCCATATTTAGTACATGACCTTTCTGGGGCGTGGAAAAATATGCTCTGTCATCTAATGTGATGTCAATTTTCTTTAACCTTCCATGTAAATAGTGCGCATTAAGACATGAGGTCTACTGTTAAATAATTTCTCTTTATAAACATAGTGACAACAAGATTGTACAGTATCAATTAAAAAGACCCAATGTGACCAGGTCCACTGCTTCCTGCATCTTGAAGTAAGACAAGTGTTCAGCTTAGAGATGAGCACCTTTCTTTCCAGAGGGAGAAGACATGATGGGAGAAAAAAATGTTCTCTCTGAGAATTTACCCAGATAAAGAGCTGGGTAGTCGGATCTAAATGGTCCCACAGCAATCCTTTTCTCGGGGGAGGTGCGTAGATCTTTGACAAGTGATGAACGAACTTTGCTTCGTGTGGTTAGGCCTGGGACTGAACTTTGTAACCAGGGATTTGGTGCGCGGGGCTTCACAGGCTGCAGAGAAACATGAAAACATGAGTGCATATGCCAAACGTGTCTCATGTGAGCGGCAGAGCCCAAGTGAAGGCCTCTTTGGCTATAGGGTGTCTCCTTTTTTTTTTTCTTTTTGAGACGGAGTCCCACTCTGTCGCCCAGGCTGGAGTTCAGTGGCGCAATCTCGGCTTACTGCAATCTCCGACTCCCGGGTTCAAGTGATTCTCTTGCCTCAGCCTCTGAAGCAGCTGGGATTACAGGCGCCCGCCACCACGCCCAGCTAATTTTTTTGTTTGTTTGTTTGTTTTTTTTGAGACGGAGTCTCACACTCTCTCCCAGGCTGGAGTGCAGTGGCGCCATCTCGGCTCACTGCCAGCTCCGCCTCCCGGGTTCACGCCATTCTCCTGCCTCAGCCTCCCGAGTAGCTGGGACTACAGGCGCCCACCACCACGCCCAGCTAATTTTTTGTATTTTTAGTAGAGACGAGGTTTCACCGTGTTAGCCAGGAGGGTCTCAATCTCCTGACCTTGTGACCAGCCCGCCTCGGCCTCCCAAAGTGCTGGGATTACGGTGTCAGCCACTGCGCCCGGCGTTTTTTTTTCTTTCTTTCTTTCTTTCTTTTTTTTTTTTTTTTGAGACGGAGTTTCGCTCTTGTTGCCCAGGCTGGGGTGCAATGGTGCGATCTCGGCTCACCGCAACCTCTGCCCCCAGAGTTCAAGGGATTCTCCTGCCTCAGCCTCCCAAGTAGCTGGGATTACAGGCATGCGCCACCACACCCTACTAATTTTGTATTTTTAGTAGAGACAGCGTTTCTCCATGTTGGCCAGGCTGGTCTCGAACTCAGGTGATCCGCCGGCCTCGGCCTCCCAAAGTGCTGGGATTACAGGCATGAGCCTCCGCTCCCGGCCACGCCCAGCTAATTTTTTTGTATTTTTAGTAGAGACAGGGTTTCACCATGTTGGCCAGGCTGGTCTTGAACTCCTGACCTCATGATCTGCCTGCCTCAGCCTCCCAAAGTGCTGAGATTACAGGCGTGAGCCACCATGCCCAGAGATTATTCTTTAATTAATCTCAAAAGCCTAACACCAGGGTAGTCTCTCTCAGCCTACTCTGGCTTGAAAAGCTGCCCATTAAAAAATAAAAATAAAAGCCTAACACCAGAGTTCGATATATGTTCACTCACACATTTGTAGAAGGAACACAATATCTCTTATAATATTCTTTACTTCACTAATAAGTTATAATTTCAGCTATACATTATATGGCGTTATTACTAGTTAAGTAATAAAACCAATGTATTATTTATCTTGTTTTTCATTTCTTAAAAAATGAATAATTGGCTGGGCACGGTGGCTCACACCTGTGATCCCAGCACTTTGGGAGGCCAAGGCAGGCAGCTCACTTGAGGTCGGGAGTTCAAGACCAGCCTGGCCAACATGGTGAAACCCCATCTCTACTAAAAATACAAAAATTAGCCAGGCATGGCGCAGATGCCTGTAATCTCAGCTACTCGGGAGGCTGAGGCAGAAGAATCGCTTGAACCAGGAGGCAGAGGTTGCAGTGAGCCAAGATTGCGCCACTGTACTCTAGCCTGGGCGACAGAGAGAGACTTTGTCTCAAAATAAAAAAAGATTAATCAATTATAATGGACCATATTATTTTAATTTTAATTTTCAAGATTTATTCTTATATTTGTTATATTTATTTTTAATATTTTATTATGTTTTTTGAATATTGTATGTGAAATAAAAAATGAAGTCATGATACAAAGTAAGTCTGACCTGTACATGAATGTTTGTAGAAGCTTTATTATAATCACCCAAAACTAGAAGCAACCAAGATGTCTTTCAAGAAGTGAATGAACAAACTGGTGCACCTACACAATGGAAGAGTATTCAGAGGTAAAAAGAAACGATGCCTGGCGCGGTGGCTCATACTTGTAATCTCAGCACTTTGGGAGGCCAAGGCAGGCGGATCACAAGGTCAGGAGTTCGAGACCAGCCTGACTAACATGGTGAAACCCTGTCTCTTGTAAAAATACAAAAATTACCTGGGCGTGGTGGCATGTGCCTGTATTTCCACTACTTAGGAGGCTGAGGCAGAAGAATCGATTGAACCCGGGGGTCAGAGGTTGCAGTGAGCCGAGAACACACCACTGCACTCCAGCCTGGGCAGCAGAGCAAGACTCCATCTCAAAAAAAAAAGAAAGAAAGAAAGAAAGAAATGAGCTGTGAAGCCAGAAAAAGACATGCATTATTTTAATTATTTTAGTAGAGACAGAACTAGTAGAGTTAATTATTTTAGTAGAGACATGAACCTCTTCAAATGTGTATTGCTGCCAGGAGGTTGGCTGACGCCTGTAATCCCAGCAATTTGGGAGGCCGAGGCAGGCAGATCACTTGAGGTCAGGAGTTTGAGACCAGCTTGGCCAACATGGTGAAACCCCATCTTTACTAAAAATACAAAAATTAGCGGGGGGTGGCGGTGCACGCCTGTAATCCCAGCTACTTGGGAGGCTGAGGCACGAGAATCACTTGAACCCGGGAGTGAGATATTGCAGTGAGGTGAGATGGTGCCACTGCACTTCAACCTGGGCAACAAAGTGAGACTGTGTCTCAAAGAAAAAAAAAGATATGTATTGCTAGGTGAAAGAAGGCAGCCGGAAAAGGCAACATACTGTATAATTCCAATTATATGACATTGTGTAAAAGACAAAGCTATAGAGATAGTAAAAAAAGGCCGGGCATGGTGGCTCATGCCTGTAATCCCAAGCACTTTGGGAGGCCGACGCGGGCGGATCACGAGGTCAGGAGATCGAGACCATCCTGGCTAACAAGGTGAAACCCCGTCTCTACTAAAAATACAAAAAAAAAATTAGCCGGGCATGGTGGCGGGCACCTGTAGTCCCAGCTACTCGGGAGGCTGAGGCAGGAGAATGGCGTGAACCTGGGAGGCGGAGCTTGCAGTGAGCCAAGATCGTGCCACTGCACTCCAGCCTGGGTGACAGAGCGAGACTCCATCTCAAAAAAAAATAAAAAAATAAAAACATCAGTAGTTGTCCAGCTACTCGGGAGGCTGAGGTGGGAGGATCACTTGAGCAGGGGCAGTTGAGGCTGCAGTGAGCCATGATCATACCACTGCAACTCCAGCTTAGGCAACAGGAGGAGACCCTGTCTCAAAATAAAAAACAAAAACAAAACAAAAAAAGGAGAGGAAAAAAGAAAAATCAGTGGTTGACAGGTATTTGTGGGGAGGAAAGGAGGGTTGAATAAGTGAAGCACAGGCCGGGCACACTGGCTCACGCCTGTAATCCCAGCACTTTAGGAGGCCCACGCAGGCAGATGACTTGAGGCCAAGAGTTTGAGACCAGCCTGGCCAACATGGTGAAACCCAGTCTCTACTAAAAATACAAAAATTAGGCCGGGCACAGTGGCTCACACCTGTAACCCCAGCACTTTGGAAGCCTGAGGCGGGCAGATCACCTGAGGTCAGAAGTTCAAGACCAGCCTGGCCAATGTGGTGAAACTCTGTCTCTACTAAAAATTCAAAAATTAACCAGGCATGGTGGCAGGCGATTGTAATCCTAGCTACTCAGGAGGCTGAGGCAGGAGAATTACTTGAACCCAGAAGGCGGAGGCTGCAATGGGCCGAGACTGCGCCACTGCACTCCAGTCTGGGCGACACAGCCAGACTTCGAGACTCCATCTCAAACAAAAAAAGGGAAGCACAGGAGACTTTTTAAGGTGGTGAAACTATTCTGAATATTCTGTATAATATATGATGGTTACATGACATTATTCATTTGTTAAAACCTGTAGAACTTTACAGCAAGAAGAGTGAACCTTATTTTTTGAGACAGAGTTTCACTCTTGTCACCCAGGCTGGAGTGCAATGGTGCAATCTCGGCTCACCATAACCTCCGCCTTCCAAATTCAAGCTTCTTTTAAATGCCTCAGCCACCCAAGTAGCTGAGATTACAGGCACACACCACCATGCCCAGTTAGTTTTTGTATTTTTAGTAGAGATGGGGGTTTCACCATGTTGGCCAGGCTGGTCTGGAACTCCTGGCCCTCAGGTGATCCACCCATCTCAGCCTCCCAAAGTGCTGGGATTGCAGGCATGAGGCACCCCACCCAGCCAGAGTAAACGTTAATGTATGCAAATTAAAACAAAAACATTTAGGAAGTAAGGGGATCTAGGAAGGAATACGGACTGCATGTAGCAAGAGAACCAAATGTATAGAGCAACTTCAGTGAAGGGAGTAGGAAAAACTTCGGAAATGTGTGGAATCTATAAGACTAAATACAACAGGAATTGCACATAGCACTGTACTCTAGTTAATAAAATTGTTTCCCAGGGGAGTGTGGGTTAATATTTCTGATTTATGTATGGAAAATTGGAACATGAAGTATACTAATAATAATTGTAATGATTACCTGAAAGAAATATAGACAGTCTTCTAGTCATGGAGAATAAATTTTAAAACCTTCATTTTTTACATCAGGTGTTTTTTATTTGTTTGTTTGTTTTTTAGAGACCTGGTCTTACTATGTTGCCCCAGCTGCCAGAGTGCAGGAGCTAGTACCTATTCACAGGCACGATCATAGCTCACTATAAACTTGAACTCCTGGGCTCAAGTGATCCTCCTGTCTCTGGCCTCACATGTAGCTAAAACTACGTGTACCATCATGCCCCAACCCTCAATTTAAATACAGATTTTTGTTGCAGATGTGATGATGAAAAATAAATACTTTCAAGCACAATTGTATATTAGGATAAAATTCTGTGTGGAAGTTACTTCATAAAGGAAATGTGAGCGTTTTTTTTTAAGATGTAATTTTAATTTTAAAGAAGAGCTTACATATTTTATTTTTAAAATGGATGATGGTAGTTATCAAACTGTTATGGCATTTAGATTCAAATGGATGCATTTAAATTCAGTTTTGAACTTAAAATATCAATATGTAAAGCTGGAATACTTACATGTTTGAAATTAAACTCTGCTTCTATTTAAAATGAAAACATTTTAGATGTCAATTTTTTTTTTTTGAGACGGAGTCTCATCTCTGTCACCCAGGCTGTAGTACAGTGGCTCAATCTCAGGCTCACTGCAACCTCCGCCTCTCAGGTTCAAGCGATTATCCTGTCTCAGCCTCCCGAGTAGCTGGGATTACAGGCATGCACCACCATACCTGGCTAATTTTTCTTTATTTTCAGTAGAGACGGGGTTTTACCATGTTGGCCAGGCTGGTCTCAAACTCCCGACCTCAGGTGATCCACTTGCCTCTGCCTCCCAAAGTGCTGGGATTGCAGGCGTGAGCCATCATGCCTGGCCTCATTTTAGATGTCAATTTAAGAAGGTAAAGAGGTGACATCATTTTTCAAAATTATTTTATAGGTTATATGAGCAAGCAAAAGAGTTGGAAATTCAACATCCTAGATAGCATCTGTTACGACGTATAGCAAGACTCAGCCAATTTGTTCTGTAAAAGGCCAGATAGTAGATATTTCAGGCTTTTGGGGCCAGATGGCCTATTCAAACTGTGGTTTTTTGTTTGTTTGTTTGTTTGTCATTGAGAGGGAGTCTTGCCCTGTTGCCCAGGCTGGAGTGCAGTGGCGCGATCCTGGCTCACTGCAACCTCTGTCTCCCGCATTCAAGCAATTCTGGTGCCTCAGCCACCTGAGTAGCTGGGATTATAGGCACATGCCACCACACCCGGCTAATTTTTGTATTTTTTAGTAGAGACGGGGTTTCACTATGTTGGCCAGGCTGGTCTCGAACTCCTGGCCCCAAGTGATCCTCCCGCCTCAGCCTCCCAAAGTGCTGGGATTACAGGCATGAGCCACCACACCCAGCCTAAACTTTATATTAACATCCTAAAGTTAAACATGAAAATTCTTCTATAACAAATAATCCCATTGCCCAGAGGGAACTTCTTTCTGTCTTCAGTTTGGTTTATATCTTTCCAGATATTCAACTATGCAGGCAGACACACACACACACACACACAGACACACACACACACACACACACACACACATATATGGTTTTAAATAAATTTTACATAATGTAGGCTCATGCCTGTAATCCCAGCACTTTGGAAGGCTGAGGCAGGTGGATCACCTGAGGTCAGCAGTTTGAGACCAGCTTAGCCAATATGGTGAAACCTTGTCACTACTAAAAATAGAAAAATTGGCTGGGCATGGTGGCAAGCGCCTGTAATCCCAACTACTTGGGAGGCTGAAGCAGGAGAATCGCTTGAACCTGGGAGGTGGAGGATGCAGTGAGCCGAGATTGCACCACTGCACTCCAGCCTGGGTGACAGAGGGAAACTCTGTCTCAAAAAAGAAAAAAGAATAAAGAAAAGAAAAGAAAATTATATATAATGTATATTGGCTGCATTTTTTAAGCAAAAAATGGGACAACATATTGTTCTATAATTTGATTTTTTAACACGTTATAGACATTTCCTTGTCATTCCTTTAAATAACTATTGATTGGTAGATATTTGAGTAATTTCCAGTTTTGAAATTAAAAGCAACAACCATCTATGTGTAAATATCTTTGTACACATGGGTGAATTTTTTTTTTTTTTTTCGAGACAGGGTTTGGCTCTATTGCCCAGGCTGGAGTGCAGTGGCGCCATCTCAGCTCACTGCAACCTCTGCATCCCAGGCTCAAGCCATCCTCCCACCTTAGCCTCCCTAGTAGCTGGGACCACAGGTGTACATCACCATGCCTGGCTAATTTTTGTATTTAAAATTTTTCGGCTTGGCATGGCAGCTCATTCCTGTAATCCCAGCACTTTGGGAGGCCAAGGCAGTTGGATCACTTAGGGCAAGGAGTTCAAGACCAGCCTGGCCAACATGGCAAAACTCCATCTCAACTAAAAATACAAAAATTAGTTGGGCATCGTGGCACATGCCTGTAATCCAAGCTACTCAGGTGAGGCACAAGAATCGCTTGAACCTGGCAGGTGGAGGTTGCAGTGAGCCAAGATCACGCCACTGCATTTCAGGCTAGGTGACAAAGCAAGACTCTGTCTCAAAAAAAAAAAAAATGCTGATTTTTCATAGCAACAGCGTCTCACCATGTTGCTCAGGCTGGTCTGGAACTCTTGAGTTCAAGCAATCCACCTGCCTCAGCCTACCAAAGTGTTGGGATTATCGGTGTTAGCCACTGCACCTGGCCAGTGAATATTTTTTAAGGATAGATTTCTAGATGTAGAATTACTACTGGGTCAAAGATATCAAAATTTTGTATTGATGAATTGTCATCTAAAAGTTTTTACCAGGGTTTCTCAATCCTGGTACTATTGACATTTGGGCCCAGATACTCCTTGGTTATGGGGTTTCATTGTACATTGTAGAATGTTTTACAGCATCCCTCAATGCTAGTAGCACCCCCACTGTTGGACAACCAAAAATATCTCTAGATATTGCTAAATGACCCCTGGGGGTGCAAAATAGCCCCAGGTTCAGAACCACTGCCTCGGACATTTGCTTTCTTTTACTTTCCTTTTATTTCTCTTTCTCACCATCTCCCTTTCAACAACTCATGCTATCCTTCCTTCTTAAAGAAAAGAACTTATGAGGCTGGGTGTGGTGGCTCACGCCCGTAATTCCAGCACTTTGGGAGACTGAGGCAGGTGGCTTGCCTGAGTCCAGGAGTTCAAGACCAGCTTGACCAACATGGCGAAACCCCGTCTCTAGTGAAAATACAAAAATTAGCCGGGTGTGGTGGCCTGCGCCTGTAATCCCAGCTACTTGGGAGGTGGAGACAGGAGAATTGCTTGAACCCAGGAGGCGGAGATTGCAGTGAGCCGAGATCGTGCCATTGCACTCCAGCCTGGGCAACAGAGTGAGACTCTGTCTTGAAAAAAAAAAAGAAAGGAACTTATAATTTAGTATATATCACCCTTCCTTCCCAGTATATTTACACTTTAGATATAGATGAAGTGAAAGTGACAATGACTAATTCAAGAATAACTATCTAATGATGGGATGAATTTTGATGGGAGAGATAATTTGGGGTACTTTCCTGATAGGCTTTAAATCATACTATGTACACTTAAACATCCTGTTGGCTCTATTCATCTTCTTTTCTGTAGAAGTTTCTCTGAATAACAATGATTAGCATCTATATTCAGAATGTCAAGTTCCTGGCCCAGCGCGATGGCTCACGCCTGTAATCCCAGCACTTTGGGAGGCCAAGGCGGGCAGATCATGAGGTCAGGAGATGGAGACCATCCTGGCTAACATGGTGAAACCCCGTCTGTACTAAAAATAATAATAATAATAATTAAAAAAAGAATGTCAATTTCCTTTGATTTTTTTAAAAGGGAATTCTATTGATTCAAAACAAAAAAAAAAAGAAGAGAAAGGTAAGCAATGCTTAAAAATCAAGAAAAATGAGATGAATTAGGGAAAGTAAAGTTTATTGTTTAAAAAATACTATATTTTGGCTGGGCACAGTGGCTCGCGCCTGTAATCCCAGCACTTTGGGAGGCTGAGGCAGGCAGATCACCTGAGGTCAGGAGTTTGAGACCAGCCTGGCCAACATGGGAAACCCCATCTCTACTAAAAATACAAAAATTAGTTGGGCATGGTAGGGGGTGCCTGTAATCCCAGCTACTCGGGAGGCTGAGGCAGGAGAAAATTGCTTGAATCTGGGAGGCAGAGGTTGTAGTGGGCCAAGATAGCACCACTGCACTCCAGCCTGGATGACAGAGCAAGACTCTATCTCAAAACAAACAAACAAACAAAGCCTATATTTTTAGCAGGGCATGGTGGCTCATGCTTGTAATCCCAGGGCAGTGTGCTAAATGCAAGACGGGATAGAAAAAGGCATAAGGAAGTCTTTTCCTTGAATTTTAGGAAGGAATGTGACAAGAACATGAATTACCAGCACAATGTGTTAAATTCATGTGAAAGAGTCAAAATTCTCTTGAGATGAAGGAGATGGTAGCGCCTTTGGAGAGGAGATGGAATGTGAAATGGGCTTTAATTAGGGTTTTGACAAAAGATAATTGGGGGACAATATGCAGAGGAAACAGCCTGAGAAAACATATAAAGGATGATATAGGTAAGCAACAGCAAACAGTCTAGCTTGTAGAAGTAGAGTTTACAGGGGTTGGGGATGATAGGCTGTAACATTATGTGACTCCAGTACCTAGCTGAGGAACTTGGATTTGTCAATGGGGCACCTAGGTAGATTTTGAGTAGGGTGATGACAGGTTTGGGGCCTCAACTTGAGAAAATTCATCTTGTAGCTATCTGTGGTATAAATTGGCATGGGGGCTGATAAGGTTTGGCTCTGTGTCCCCACCCAAATCTCATGTTGAATTGTAATCTCCAATGTTAGATGAGGGACCTGGTGGGAGGTGATTAGATCATGGGGGCAGATTTCCCCCTTGCTGCTCTCATGATGGTGGTTGAGTTCTCACAAGATCTGGTTGCTTTTGTTTGAGACGGAGTCTCGCTGTGTCGCCCAGGCTGGAGTGCAGTAGCGTGATCTTGACTCACTGCGACCTCCACTTCCCGGGTTCATGCAATTCTCCTGCCTCAGCCTCCAGAGTAGCTGGGATGACAGGGGCGTGCCACTATGCCCGGCTAATTTTTTGTATTTTTAGTAGAGATGGGGTTTCACTGTGCTAGCCAGGATGGTCTTGATCTCCTGACCTCATGATCCACCCACCTTGGCCTCCTGAAGTGCTGGGATTACAGGCATGAGCTTGCTTCCCCTTCACCTTCCACCATGATTTTAAGTTTCTTTAGGCCTCCCCAACCATGCTTCCTCTACAGCCTGAGGAACTGTGAGCCAATTAAACCTCTTTTCTTTATAAATTACTCAGTCTCAGGTAGTTCTTTATAGCAATGTGAGAATGGCTAATACAGGAGCAATTAATGGTAAAGAGACAGTCGGGCACCGCGGCTCATGCCTGTAATCCCAGCACTTTGGGAGGCCGAGATAGGTGGATCACCTGAGGTCAGGAATTCGAGACCAGCCTGACCAACATGGTGAAACCCTGTCTCTACTAAAAATACAAAAATTAGCTTCGGTGGTAGCAGGTGCCTGTAATCCCAGCTACCTGGGAGGCTGAGGCAGGAGAATCGCTTGAACCTGGGAGGTGGAGGTTGCAGTGAGCCAAGATTGGGCCATTGCAACACAGAGGTTGGGGTAACACAGCAAGACCCTGTCTCAAAAAAATAAAATAAAAATAAAAAATAAAGGTAAAGAGACTAGTTGGGAGGCTATTTGTAATAAACCAGGATTTGTCTGCCTCAACACTACACTACTGACATTTTGCATCAGACAATTATTTGTTGTGGGAGGGTTGTCCTTAGTATTGTAGAATGTTTAGTAGTGTCTCTAGTGTCTGTTTACTAGATGTTAGACAACCCCTAGCCCCCTATATGACATTGCCAAATGTCCCTATGGAGACAATATCACCCCCAGTTGATAACTGTGTGTGTAACAGACCATGTGAGAAATAAAAAAGGGTGGATGTTAGACATGGGTAAGGACAAAATCTAAAAGCCTTGGCAAGTGTTTGGATAGGCTTGCAACTGAGAAAGAGGGAGTGTTGAAAGCTCAAACAGAGAAAGGTCCTAGAGGCCATGTACTGTAGTCTAATATGCTTATCATTGCTTGAAACATTGTAAACCCTCTTGGAAGGCAGTTTGGTAAAACCTATTAATAATCACAAAAAGTATCTTACTTTTTGACCCAGCACTTTTATTTCTGGGAGTTTATCTTAAATGATTCAAATGAAGACAAGGAATCTTTATGTACAAAGCAATTAGTTGCATGACAGACAGTGACCACGTTCTCAAAAATTACACCCGCATGCCACCACATTGCCTGTTAAATTAGAAGCCGATTTAAGATCCTGAGTTTAAGAGCCAAAGAAGTTGTAGCTAAAGAAACAAAATCCCAGAGGGGCAGGAAGGGCAGATATCAAGAATGCAAGTAGAGAAATTCTTAACTTATTTTTCAGAGAGAGGACAATGAATTTGAGAATTTGTATTGGAGAAAAGAGGGAGAGAAGTTAGGTGGAGGAACTCCTAGATAAGGCTTCAATCAGTGAATTCATCTGCAGAGCAGAAGTTTCTGCGGAACTCAAACTGCCTGGGGGCATTCCTTGAAAAGAAGAATTCTGCACTTTTTGGTGGGAACCTGCCGGTGGAACATCCTGTTTAGAAATGAGGACATCCAAGGAACACTGCAATGTGCAGAGACTAGAAGGAAAAAACAGTCAAGTAGCCATTTCTCCTGGGGAGTCTCTAGTAACTTGATTTTGTGCTTCTTCTTGTTTTTTGAGACAAGAGTCTCACTCTGTCGCCCAGGCTGGAGTGCAATGGTACGATCTCGGCTCACTGCAACCTCCACCTCCCGAGTTCAAGCAATTCTCCTGTCTCAGCCTCCCGAGTAGCTGGGACTACAGGTGCAAGTCACCACACCTGGCTAATTTTTGTAATTTTTAAATTATTATTTATTTTTATTTTTTTGAGGCGGAGTCTCGCTCTGTCGCCCAGGCTGGAGTGCAGTGGCGCCATCTCGGCTCACTGCAAGCTCTGCCTCCCGGGTTCACGCCATCCTCCTGCCTCAGCCTCCCGAGTAGCCGGGACTACAGGCGCCCAGCACCACGTCCGGCTAGTTTTTTGTATTTTTCTTTTTTAGTAGAGACGGGGTTTCACCGTGTTAGCCAGGATGGTCTCGATCTCCTGACCTCGTGATCCGCCCGCCTCGGCCTCCCAAAGTGCTGGGATTACAGGCGGAGCCACCGCGCCCGGCCAATTTTTGTAGTTTTAGTACAGACGGGGTTTCACCATACTGGTCAGGCTGGTCTCGAACTCCTGACCTCAGGTGATCCACACACCTCGGCCTCCGAAAGTGCTAGGATTACAGTCGTGAACCACCGCGCTTGGCCGCAACTTGATTTTTAAATTGCTCTCTGAGTGTAGATTCCTTGTTTGTTTGGCAAGGGTTCTTGCCGCTGCCGCTACAGCTTGAAGCCAAACATTTAATGAAAGAGAGCGGGAGGGGCCGAATAGAAGAATGATGGGCGTGGCCAACCCCGAGGTGGCTGGAGGCCGCGCCCCCTTCCCAGAGTGCACCGCAGCCGCTGCATTCAGGAACCGCTTTAGCTTCGCCCCCGGCCGGCCGGGCGGGGAAGACTGGTGTGGTCTGGCCATGGATGGGCTCCAGGCCAGTGCAGGGCCGTTGAGGCGCGGGCGGCCGAAGCGCCGGCGCAAGCCCCAGCCACACAGCGGGTCGGTCCTGGCCCTGCCCTTGAGGTCCAGGAAGATACGAAAGCAGCTGCGAAGTGTTGTATCCCGCATGGCAGCGCTGAGGACGCAGACGCTGCCTAGCGAGAACTCGGAGGAATCGAGGGTGGAGTCGACGGCCGACGACCTGGGGGACGCGCTACCCGGTGGGGCGGCGGTGGCGGCCGTCCCGGACGCAGCCCGGCGAGAGCCATACGGCCACCTGGGGCCCGCAGAGCTGCTGGAGGCCTCGCCCGCCGCGCGCTCCCTGCAGACCCCGTCGGCGCGCCTGGTGCCCGCTTCCGCGCCGCCCGCGCGCCTGGTGGAGGTGCCCGCCGCGCCGGTCCGGGTGGTGGAGACCTCGGCCCTGCTGTGCACCGCGCAACACTTAGCGGCCGTCCAGTCGTCCGGGGCCCCTGCGACGGCGTCGGGGCCGCAGGTGGATAACACGGGTGGGGAGCCGGCCTGGGACTCCCCGCTGCGGCGCGTCTTGGCCGAGCTGAACCGCATCCCCAGCAGCCGGCGGCGAGCGGCCCGCCTCTTTGAGTGGCTCATCGCGCCCATGCCGCCAGATCACTTTTACCGGCGCCTATGGGAGCGCGAGGCGGTGCTGGTGCGGCGGCAGGACCACACCTACTACCAGGGACTTTTCTCTACCGCTGACCTGGATTCGATGCTGCGCAACGAGGAGGTGCAGTTCGGCCAGCATTTGGACGCCGCTCGCTACATCAACGGACGACGCGAGACCCTGAACCCACCCGGCCGCGCGCTGCCCGCCGCCGCGTGGTCCCTGTACCAGGCCGGCTGCTCCCTGCGTCTCCTCTGTCCGCAGGCTTTCTCTACTACTGTGTGGCAGTTTTTGGCTGTGCTTCAAGAGCAGTTTGGAAGCATGGCAGGCTCCAACGTTTACCTCACGCCCCCTAACTCGCAGGGCTTTGCCCCCCACTACGACGACATCGAGGCCTTCGTGCTGCAGCTGGAAGGTAGGAAACTCTGGCGTGTATACCGACCCCGAGTCCCAACCGAGGAACTGGCTCTGACATCCAGCCCCAACTTCAGTCAGGACGACCTCGGTGAGCCGGTGCTGCAGACCGTGCTGGAACCTGGAGATTTGCTGTATTTTCCTCGGGGCTTCATTCACCAAGCTGAATGCCAGGATGGAGTCCACTCTCTGCACCTCACCTTGTCCACGTACCAGCGCAATACCTGGGGTGACTTCTTAGAGGCCATACTGCCTCTGGCAGTGCAGGCTGCAATGGAAGAAAATGTGGAGTTTCGGAGGGGTCTGCCCCGAGACTTCATGGATTACATGGGGGCCCAGCATTCAGATTCTAAGGATCCGCGAAGAACCGCTTTCATGGAGAAGGTGCGGGTCTTGGTTGCCCGCCTGGGACACTTTGCTCCTGTTGATGCTGTGGCCGACCAGCGAGCCAAAGACTTCATTCACGATTCTCTGCCCCCTGTTTTGACTGATAGGGAGAGGGCACTAAGTGTTTACGGGCTTCCAATTCGCTGGGAGGCTGGAGAACCTGTAAACGTGGGGGCCCAGTTGACAACAGAAACAGAAGTCCATATGCTTCAGGATGGGATAGCTCGGCTGGTGGGTGAGGGGGGCCATTTGTTTCTCTATTACACAGTGGAAAACTCCCGTGTGTATCATCTGGAAGAACCCAAGTGCTTGGAAATATACCCCCAGCAAGCTGATGCCATGGAACTGTTGCTTGGTTCTTATCCAGAGTTTGTGAGAGTGGGGGACCTGCCCTGTGACAGTGTGGAGGACCAGCTGTCCTTGGCAACCACGTTGTATGATAAGGGGCTGCTGCTCACTAAGATGCCTCTAGCCCTAAATTAGTTTCTTGTTGATTGCTGGAAACAAGGCAGTAGTGATTCTCCGCTGCCACTGCTACCTTTTTTTTTTTTTTTTCCTTAAACTCACGTTCTTACCTTGATAAGCATCAGTGTGCTCACATTTACCTTTATCACTGCTTCAGTGTCACAAACCTCGGAAGGTCTTCTAGGAAGAACCATCTCATCTAGGTACAAAAGGAAAAGGAGAAGTTGGAGGTGGAAAAAAAACCCTTGATCCGTGATCATTTCAGAGCACCAACTTCATCACCTTCAGGCTTCAGTGTACTGGGTAACACTGACCATGTCGTTCTGCTTGAGACAGATATTAGATTTTTTTTGGAATTTGGATCTTTCATCTGAGTTCTTTTTCATGGGCGGGTCGGGGTCAGTATCCTGTTTGTTATTGTTAAATTTGTATGAACCTTAGAAAAGTTATTAAAGTGCCAAAGAATGTTTCCCTTTCCTAAGGCTAGATTATTATGTGGGATGGTTCGAAGAAATGCAGGAGCGGGAGGAAGATAGGGAAAATCTATAATGGCTGAAGTGAAAAGCAACCTGGGGTGGTTGTAGCATGTAAAAGGAGCATGTTAATCAACCTCTTAAGGAAGAGACTCTCAGGCTGGGTGCGGTACTCATGCCTGTAATCCTAGCACTTTAGGAGGCCGAGGCGGGTGGATCACCTGAGGTCAGCAGTTTGAGACCAGCCTGGCCAACATGGCAAAACCCCATCTCTAGTGAGAATACAAAAATTAGCCAGGCATAGTGGTGCGTGCCTGTAATCCCAGCTACTAGGGGGGCTGAGGCAGGAGGATCACTTGAACCTGGGAGGTGGAGGTTGCAGTGAGCTGAGATCATGCCACTGCATTCCAGCCTGGGCAACAGAGCGAGACTCCGTCTCAAAAACAAAAACAAAAACAAAAAAGAATCTTATCTGATTGGGACCAGTTCACTAACTTTGGGGATAATTTATGCTATTTAATTATGCAACCCAATTCTAGTAGAAAAATTATTTTCTACCAGCTTGTTCAGTTTTAAGATCATGGTATGTTTTTGCTCACTGTTTGCTTACATCCATGGCTGGCACTGCTGTCATAAGGGCAGCATGTCACCTAGTTGTGCCTTCATAGACCTTAGGCAACCAACTTTTAGCAAGCTGGCCATGAAGGAAGGCTACTGTTCAAGTTACTTTCCACTCTCATTTTTATTCTGGCAGTTCGAAGAAACTTCCCCAAATCTGACAAGTGAATATTCTCATGGTTGGTGGAAAAGTGCCTGATGTACCAGAAAGAGCACTGGACTTGGAACCAGAAGACCTGGGTTTGGGGTGGTAGCTGGTAGGCAGCTGGCTGAGTGACCTGAGGCTGATGCTACGCTCAGGCACACAGATTTTGTAAGTATATTTTGGTACAGTTTGATTTCTGCACCCTCATCATTTAGGTTGCGTCTGGGACTCTTAAGAGTCTGTCACCATAATGGATAGTTTTCTGTTATTTAAGGTTGAGAACTTTACAAATTCTTTTTAAAAAAGTTACAAAAGCATAGACATACACTAAGTAAAAATGATAGTTCTCCCTCCAACCCCACTTTCCAGAGACAAGCACTATTTTTTGTTTGTTTGTTTTTTTGTTTGAGACAGGGTCCCACTTTGTTGCCCAGGCTGGGGTACAGTGGTGAGATATTGGGTTACTGCAGCCTCAACCTCCTGGGCTCAAGCAATCCTCCCATCTCAGCCTCCTTAGTAGATAGGACTACCAGTGTGTGCCACCACACCCAGATAATTTTTATTTATTTATTTTTTTGTAGAGATGGAGGGGTCTTGCTATGTTGCCCAGACTGGTTTTGAACTCCTGGCCTGGGGTGATCCTCCCACCATGGCCTCCCAAAGCACTGAGAGTCCAGGTGTGCGCCACCACGCCCAACCACCAACCACTACCACTATTAAGGTTAAGCTCATAAAGCTTTTTTGAGTGCTTAGTCAAACATACATGGTAGTATTGTTTTATAAAGACTTGTGTTTTTCTGATATGTCCTTTTTTGACCTAACTTTTAAGTCAGTTCAAATAGAGATAACTTTTTTTTAAGGGAGAAAATAAATGAATAAAAACCCGAGAAACAAACAAACAAAAAAAAAACACAAAGACTGAGTGGATGGTAGCCAAGAGGGAAGAGAGTACCCTTTCCTGACTCTTTCATCCTCTAAGGCTTGCTACTAAGTCCCAAAACATCCAGATCCTGGAAGAGGCTTATTAAAGGAATCAAGGCATGGAACTCACCCCTAGGAAACCTACCCTGAAAAGTTTCTTGGAGTAAAGTCTGGAGTGTTAGTGGTCCTTGTTCTCCTTTGGGTTTCAAGTAAACACGTTTTGCTTCCTCCCTCACTTTTCCCATGACCATCTCCAGCTTGAGTATTTTGTGTGTCAGCAAGTCCTTTTGGCTTAGTGTTTTAATCTAAATTAGAACAAATAATGTTTGAAAAACAAAACAAAACACCTGTACTAGGCAGCAAATTATCAAAAAACATTAATAAAGTGATTGTAGGAGGCTGAGGAGGGAGGATCACTTGAGCCCAACAGTTCAAGGCTACAGTGAGCTGTGATCATGCCACTGCACTCCAGCCTGGGCAACAAAGTGAGACCCTGTCTCTAGAAAATAAAGAAGTAACTAATTGCATATGCTTATCAGTAGTAGGTGGTACATAAGTGCCTGAGAACATTGTTCTCTTATGATATTGGTTGGAGATTTTTTATACCTGTTCGTGAAAATTTTACTTCAGCTTTTTGGGCATGATGAACCTGCTAAGAATTGCTTGCTTGATGTGAAGTTGGTTTCTTGAATTACCTTTTTAAAGTCCTTTCCCCTCTATTCCTTCATCTTATCTAACAGCTTTGAAAAATTAGAACAATCCAGGCCAGGCATGATGGCTCATGCCTGTAATCCCAGCACTTTGGGAGGCTGAGGCGGGTGGATCACTTGAGGCCAGGAGTTCAAGACCAGCCTGGCCAACATAGCAAAACCTTGTCTCCACTAAAAATACAAAAAAATTAGTTGGGTGTGGTGGCACATGCCTATAATCCCAGCTATTTTGGTGGCTGAGGCACGAGAATCACTTGAACCCAGGAGGTGGAGGTTGCAGTGAGCCAAGATCACACCACTGCACTCCAGCCTGGGCGACAGAGCGAGACTGTCCCCCCCTCAAAAAAAAAAGCAAAAATTATGTTAATCCTTTCAGCTAGAGATTTTCTTTGGTGAGAAAACCCAGATTAGGAATTCAGAAAAATTAAGAAGAAAATCTAGGGGGCCAGCTCTAGTCCCTTATTCCTTCTCTATGCCTATTTGAAAAAAAGGAAAAATAAACAACTTGGGTTTGGGGTTGATGGGGAGAAAATAGGAAGGGAGGGAAATAGTATTTCTGAAACAATGAGGGTTACTTGATAGGACTAATAGGATTTTTGTTTTGTTTTTGTCTTTACTAGTAGGACCTTGTAACCCAATCTTGCACAGATGCTTTGCATCTTCAAATGATGTGGCATCTGTGTCTGGGGTTTTAGAAAGTACTTCTATGGTGGGAAAAAGGGTATGTACATGTTTGAGGAGGACAGGGTCTGAGGAACTCTTGAGAGTCCTGAATTTTCTCTTGAGAACAGAGCTTGCACTTATTTACCCTGTTCTTGATCTCCTGAAGCATTTCTTGGTTTCCTTCATTTCCTAAGTTGAGTATCTTCATTGTCTGGTACATTTCTCTGAAAGATAAGAAGGGCTTCTTAGATTATTCTACCCTGCCCTTTAAAAAAGTATGGGGGTAGAAAATATAGGACTTGGAATCAGGTAAGAATCCCAAGTTCCAATCCTAACTGTGCAGTTTTGCTGAGCCTTATATGCAAAAATGGTATAATGCTTAGCTTACAGGAATAATGTGCAGTTTTTGAGACAATATATTTGTGGGTTTTTTGTTTACTTTTTGTTTTTGCGAGATGGAGTCTTGCTCTGTTTCCCAGAGCTGGAGTGCAATGGCACGATCTCGTCTCGGCTCACTGCAACCTCCACCTCCCAGGTTCAAGCGATTCTCCTGCCTCAGCCTCCTGAGTTGCTGGGACTACAGGCGCGTGCCATCATGCCCAGCTAGTTTTTGTATTTTTAGTAGAGATGGGGTTTCACCATGTTGGCCAGGCTGGTCTAGAACTCCTGACCTCAGGTGATCCACCCGCCTTGGCCTCCCAAAGTGTTGGGGCTACAGGTGTGAGCCACTGCACCCGGCCATGCCCGTCTAATTTTTGTATTTTTAGTAGAGACAGGTTTCACCATGTTGGCCAGGCTGGTCTAGAACTCCTGACCTCAGGTGATCCATCTGCCTCAGCCTCCCAAAGTGTTGGGATTACAGATGTGAGCCACCTCATCTGGCCAAGACAATATATTTGAAGGTGCCAATAGGTACCATTTACTGAACACCTTTATGACAGGCGCTAAACATGTCATCTCATTAATTATCACCACAACCCTATAATGTAGACTATCACCTGCATTTGATACATGAAAAAAATGGGCTCACAGAGTTTAAATACCTTACACGGGCTCACATAGCTATTGCATGCCAGAGCTGGAATTCAAACCCTGGTCTTTTTGACTCTAAAACTTGTTGTCCCAATAGGCATTTGATAAATGTTAGTTGAATATATGAATAACTTAAAACCCATCCTTTTTTTTTTTGAGACGGAGTTTTGCTCTTGTTGCCCAGGCTGGAGTGCAATGGCACCATCTCGGCTCACCGCAACCTCCACTTCCCAGGTTCAAGTGATTCTCCTGCCTCAGCCTCCCTAGTAGCTGGGATTACAGGCATGTGCCACCATGCCTGGCTAATTTTGTATTTTTAGTAGAGACAGGGTTTCTCCATTTTGGTCAGGCTGGTCTCAAACTCCCGACCTCAGGTGATCCTCCTGCCTCAGCCTCCCAAAGTGCTGGGATTACAGGCGTGAGTCATCACACCCGGCCAAAACCCATCCTGGTGGGGAGAAAAGATGCATGAACTACATAAGCTTGACTTTCAATCTAATTTAGGCCAGTTTTTCAGTTACCTACTTGGGTGAGTGGTGAATGTGCAGGTGAACCAGTGCTTTTACTGCCATTAGGTAGCCTGGAAAGGCAGGGACATATTCAATGAGCAAAGATGTGAGAGTTGGCAGTATAAGGTCATGGTGGGAGCCAGAGGTTTAGTGCTTACTTTAGAACAGCATCGTGGTTCTCCAGGAGCAGCACGTCTAGGAAGGTGTCCCTGACCCGGTCCCCTTGAAGTTTCAGGGCTAGGATGCTACGGCAAGCTTCCAGCCGTACACCTGGTGACTCTTCATAGTGGATAGCCCAGAGCAGAAGATCCGTCAGCTCGGGACTTACTTGCCCAATCTGTCCCAAAGCTGCAGAGATTAGAGGGCAGCATGTCACTGAAGACTGAGCTTACTATATTCTAGCATCCAGAAATAAATTGAGTTTTGCAAACAATACCTTCCCTTTTGGATGGTAATCACCATTAGAATTTTAGGGATAGGTCAGAATGGGACATTACCTCCAAAGGATTCCTAGAAGAGGGATGTTCCATCCCATCCTTGCCTGTTAGGATATTTGCCTATTTTGGGATGAAATATAGAACAAATAACATGGAAGACCTGCCTAGTCCCAGCAGGGTGATGGGGAAAGGAGGCACAATTATTTATCTATGTCAAAAAGAGAAGCAATGCCAAAGATTCTAAAAAGAAACTAGGCAGATTAAGGGGCAGGGTTTTAGGTCTGTAGCAGTCTTGAAACTGATCTGACTTTTGCAGAGCGTAATAGTTGAGATCTCCAAGGAAAGCAAGATGCATCCAGCACTGGATACCTACTTGGAACTTATCCTTAATTCTGTTGGCAGGGACTGTCTTGTCAGCCCTTTCTTTAACTTAAGTTTGACATATACCTAGACTCAGGATCTTTCACTAAAAATTGAAGAAAATTATCTTTCTCTTTTCAGACAAGGAACTTCTGAAAAGCTAAGATCATTACCTCTCCTGCACTTCACCCCATTAGAGAGTTTCAGGGGATCATTTCTACTTGCATAGGCAAAGGTATTTAAGGTTGAAGAGTTTGGGGCACTACTTCTATAATACCTCGAATGGCAAAGGCCTTGATTTTCCAGTAAGGATCTCTCTGCATCAGGTTCAGGAGGCATTCAAGCACCTGGGATGGAAAAGGCAGTGTTGAGTGGGGAGGACCAGAGCAAGAATGAACCAGAAACAGCTGGGTGCGGTGGTGCACCCCTGTAATCCCAGCATTTTGGGATGCCAAGGTGGGCGGATCACTTGACATCAGGAGTTTGAGACCAGCCTGGCCAACATGGTGAAACCCTGTCTCTACTAAAAATACAAAAATTAGCCGGGCATGGTGTCACACGCCTGTAATCCCAGCTACTCGGAGGCTGAGGTAGGAGAATTGCTTGGACCTGGGAGGCGGAGGTTGTAGTGAGCTGAGATCGTGCCACTGTACTCCAGCCTGGGTGACAGAGCGAGTCTCCATCTCAAAAAAGCAAAAAAACAAAACAAAGCAAAAGAATGAATCAGAAACAGGGAAACCACTTATCTCTAAAAGGAGCTATAATTGAAAAATGACCTATCAATTCTGGTGACAAATGAGCTGGAGCCTAAAGTACCAACCTATATGCATAGTGAGTACATTAGCTGAATTATCTGCTATTGATTTTCTCAGTCTACAGATCTGGGGCCATATGGCTTCTCTTGAACACTTCAAACAGATTTTTCCCTAATAATGGAATTATAACTCCATTTATGGGAGTTGATCCTAAAGCCCATCAGCACCCAGGTAATGAGAAGCTAGTTAACTGAGGTGAGAACAGGATTCAGGGGTGTGCTCTAGAATCGAAGTCTGGGCTGGCTGGGAGCTAAACCAAGCTTGTCCAACATGTGGCCTAGGACAACTTGGAATGCGGCCCAACACAAATTTGTAAACTTTCTTAAAACATGAGATTTATGCCAGGCGCGGTGGCTCACGCCTGTAATCCCAGCACTTTGGGAGGCCGAGGCGGGCGGATCACGAAGTCAGGACATCGAGACCATCCTGGCTAACACGGTGAAACCCCATCTTTACTAAAAACACAAAAAAATTAGCCAGGTGTGGTGGCAGGTGCCTGTAGTCCCAGCTACACAGGAGGCTGAGGCAGGAGAATGGCGTGAACCTGGGAGGCGGAGCTTGCAGTGAGCCGAGATGGCGCCACTGCACTCCAGCTTGGGTCACAGAGCGAGACTCCGTCTCAAAACAAACAAACAAACAAACAAAAAAACCATGAGAATTATGCACGGACCTTTTTTTTTTTTTTTTAGCTCATCAACTATCGTTAGTGTTAGTGTACTTTATATGTGGCCCAAGACAATTCTTCCATTGTGGCCCAGGGAAGCCAAAAGATTGGATGCCCCTGAAACAGTCCTGTTTGAAGTGGCTTATACACCCCCTTCCCAGTTCCAATCTCTCATTCTGTGTCCCCACAGAATGTTGAGCATACTGTGCACAACCAGGGAAGGTAATGCCCTCTTCAGGTCAATCAGGTAAGATGAGAATATGTTTCCCTGACTCACCATCTTGTCGCGGATCTGCAGGGCACCAGCTGCCAAACAGGCTGCCCGCCGAACTGCTGTGAAGTCATCAGAGAAGCAGTGCAGGAAGCTTGGGAGAAGCTTGGCGGTCATAAGCTTGAGCTCACCTATCAGGTAGAGAGCTTCCACACGCTCCTGGGAATTTCCTTGACCTAGCTTGACCCTGTAAGGCACAAGTTGCTTTCCTTTCACCTCCTTAAACTTTCAGTACCTAACCCCCAACCCCCACTAATGCCCTCATGATAAAATCCGGGTTCTGTAGGCTGTCAATCCCATTCAGCCTTATGCTCATGAGATAAGTTTTACTGGGTACAGAGCTCGATTGTCTTCTTTACTTGAATCCCTAATACATAGCTGTTCAGTAATTAGGTAATGCAGGGCTTTCAGTTACACTGAATGACTGAATAAAGGAAAATGTCAACTTGCACCTCTTTTCACAGTCAAGTTCTCTTCTCCATTGCCCTCACGTGTGCCATGATTATGTCTGCATTTGGCTTCCAGCCTGGAATGCCTATGCAGTCTTTTTGTTTGTTTGTTTAAATTATTTTTATTTATTTTATTATTTTTTTGAGATGGAGTCTCGCTCTGTTGCCCAGGCTGGAGTGCAGTGGCTGGATCTTGGCTTACTGCAAGCGCCGCCTCCTGGGTTCACGCCATTCTCCTGCCTCAGCCTCCTGAGTAGTTGGGACTATAGGCGCCCACCACCACGCCTGGCTAATTTTGTTTTTCTTGTATTTTTAGTAGAGATGGGGTTTCACTATGTTAGCCAGGATGGTCTTGATCTCCTGACCTCGTGATCTGCCCGCCTCGGCCTCCCAAAGTGCTGGGATTACAGGCATGAGCCACCGCGCCCGGCCTTAAATTATTTTTAGAGATGGGGTCTTGCTATGTTGCCCAGGCTGGTCTTGAACTCCTGACCTCAAGTGATTCTCCTGCCTCAGCCTGAGTAGCTGGGATTATAGGCACTTACCCACTCTGCGGCTCCTATGCAGTCTCTCTCTCTTTTTTTTTTTTTTTTTTTTTTGAGATAGGGTCTTTCTCTGTTGCCCAGGCTGGAATGCAGTGGCATGATGATGGCTCATGACAGCTTTGGACTTCCTGGACCCAGGCAGTCCTCTTGCCTCAGCCTCCCAAGTAGCTGGGACTACAGGCATACACCACCACACTGGCTAACTTTTTATTTTATTTTATTATTATTATTTTTGAGACGGAGTCTCACTCTGTCGCCCAGGCTGGAGTACAGTGGCGTGATCTCCGCTCACTGCAAGCTCCAACTCCCAGGTTCACGCCATTCTCCTGCCTCAGCCTCCCGAATAGCTGGGACTACAGGCGCCCGCCACCACGCCCTTTTGTATTTTTAGTAGAGACAGGGTTTCACCATGTTAGTCAGGATGGTCTCGATCTCCTGACCTTGTGATCCACCCGCCTCGGCCTCCCAAAGTGCTGGGATTACAGGAGTGAGCCACTGCGCCCGGCCAATTTTTTTTTTTTTTTTTTTTAATTTTTAGTAGAGGCAAGGTCTTGCTATGTTGCCCAGGCTGGTCTCGAACTCCTGGGCTCAATTGATCCTCCTGCTTCAGAGTCTCAAAGTATTGGGATTACAGGCGTGTGCCACTGGGCTGGGCCTCCTGTGCAGTCTTATCCACCCTCTGTGAAACTTGGCCTTACTCCTCTAGCCACGCTGAGTATTCCATTTTTCTGCTCCAGCAGTTATGGTATATGCCATTTGTTCTAGTTTTTAATGATTTGGTATTTTTAATTAGGTGTTTGTATATTTTGCATGTGGTCATCAGAATTGCGTCATACTTTTGAACACCCTCCAGCACCGAAACCATTGCCTCACACCTACTGGGCACTCAATGCTTCTTTCCCTAGCCACATTGTTAGTTTGTAGGGACTGTTAATTTTTTACAGTGGGACCTGGTCCAGGGTCCGTACAGAGGAGCTCAACAAATGCTGGGTGGCTGGATCCCAGGCCTCCTAAGCACTTTTTTTTTTTGAGACGGAGTCTTGCTCTGTTGCCAGGCTGGAGTGCAGTGGCGCGATCTCTGCTCACTGCAACCTCCGCCTCCCAGGTTCAAGCGATTCTCCTGTCTCAGCCTCCCGAGTAGCTGGGATGACAGGCATGTGCCACCACGCCTGGCTAATTTTTTGTATTTTTAGTAAAGACAGGGTTTTACTGTGTTAGCCAGGATGGTCTCGATCTCCTGACCTCGTGATCCGCCCACCCCGTCTTCCCAAAGTGTTGGGAGCCACCTTGCCCAGCCTGCCTCCTAAACACTTCTAAGAATTTAGAAGAGTGTCTCCTCATGTTGACTGGGTCTTACCTGATTATGTCGTGCACCTCTTTCCCGAGGCTCATTTGCCCAAGCGCCTGTGCAGCTGCTCTCCTCACTTCCTTATTCCAGTCATTCCACATCAGCTGGATCAACTTATGTTTCATATCCTATAAATAGGTATGATCATTAGGTATCATCACTTAATGAATGTTAATTTTGTGCTTGGCGTTGTGCTGTTTTTTCTTCTTTTTTTACTCATCACTGTACTAATGAGGATTGTCCTGAGTGTTTTTTCCCATCGCTTACTCTCCCAAAGAATCCAGTGGGGCAGATATTACTACCATTTACAGATGATAGAATGGAGGCTTTGATCAGCTTGTCCAAGGTTAACCTGGTGAGTGCTGGAACCAGGACTCAAACCCAACTCTCCCAAGCTCATCCTTTAAACTATGTAGTATCAGTGCCAACATAACTTGTACCTGGGAGACTTAAAATTTGAAAGTGATACTTGATGAAGTGACTAGCTCATTGCAGTTTGCCTGGGACTCTCCTGGTTTTGGTCCTGAAAGTCCCATGGCCTGGACAAACCAGAACAGTTGGTCACTCTATAAGTGCACTTCTCTCAGAGAGGAATGGGCAAAGATTACTACACGATGATGTGTAAATGTGCCCACGCTGTTCTTCCTGCTAGAAGTATCTCCCTTCTCTACTCCTACCTGGTACTTGATGTCTTTGTAGTCTTCCTTTAGGATTTACCTCAAAAGCATCTCCTTCCTATCTCTTTTATTAAAAATTTTAAAAAATAAAATAAAAACATCTCCTTAGTGAAGTCTTCTTTGCCCCTTGTAAGCACAGGAAATCCCCACAACACCTTATAGCTGCTTCTGTTCTAGCTATTTGTAACATTTACTAACGGAAGACTTATCCCTGCACCCCCAGGGGTAGCATAGTGCCTAGTGCGTCGGATGTGGTCAGAAACTGCATGCTTACTGAATGAGTGAAAAGACTCATAGACATACTGCCTTTCTTAGCTCCAGCAATCTGCCATGAAGTCCTCATCATCTTTACCTCAACCCCTGCTAGCTCTGCATGTCTTTTTACTTTCAGTTGTCAATTCTAAGTGACAAGTGCCAAGGAGGTGAAGGTACAAATGAATTGGAAGTTGTTAAAATGATATTGTTAAGATGCAGATTCTGATTGAGCTGGCTTAAGATGAGATTTTTGCATTTCTTTTTTTTTTTTTTTTTTGAGACGGAGTTTCACTCTTGTTGCCCAGGCTGGAGTGCAATGGCACGATCTCGGCTCACTGCAACCTCCGCCTCCTGGGTTCAAGTGACTCTCCTGCCTGAGCCTCCTGAGTAGCTGGGATTATGGGCATGTGCCACCAAGCCTGGCTAATTTTTTTTTTTTTTTTGAGACGGAGCCTCGCTCTGTTGCCCAGGCTGGGGCGCAGTGGTGCGATCTCAACTCACTGCAACCTCCACCTCCTGGGATCACGCCATTCTCCTGCCTCAGCCTCCCGAGGAGCTGGGACTACAGGTGCCTGCCACCACACCCGCCTAATTTTTTTTATTTTTAGTAGAGACAGGGTTTCACCGTGTTAGCCAGGATGGTCTCGATCTCCTGACCTCGTGATCCGCCCTCCTTGGCCTCCCAAAGTGCTGGGATTACAGGTGCGAGCCACTGTGCCCGGCCGATTTTTGCATTTCTAATAATGCTCCTAGGTGACGCCTGTGCTGCTGGTCCAGGACTTTAGCAGCAGGGTGCTATAGCACTTGAGACAGAACTAACCCAAGTCCAAAACCTTTTCAGGTGATTACTGTACTGAGTGGCCAGATTTTGTGCTTCCCATATCAAAATGTCAGGGTTACAGAGTGGAGGTTGTTCACTTATCATGGGAATGGCAATGTTCTGGGCTATTCTGGAGATATCCAAAGTTATAAGGAAAAGATGAAGTAGCACATAGGAAGAAGGGAAAGCTCCCATTTGGACAGCTGAAGATGATTGGGAAATAATGGCAAAAACGAAGTGTTGCCTGGAATTCCCTCTTTAGTTCTAGCTGAGCCCCACCATCTTCACCGACAGTTGGTTTGTTTTTTTTTTTAGATGGAGTCTCGCTCTGTCGCCCAGGCTGGAGTGCAGTGGCACGATCTTGGCTCACTGAAACCGCCGCCTCCCAGGTTTAAGCGATTCTCCTGCCTCAGCCTCCAAGTAGCTGGGATGACAGGTGTGTGCCACCATGCCCAGCTAATTAGAGATGGGGTTTTGCCATGATGACCAGGCTGGTTTCAACCTCCTGGTCTCAAGTGATCCACCCGCCTCAGCCTCCCAAGGTGCTGGGCTTACAGGCATGAGCCACCGTACCGGACCCCTTCACAGAACTTTAACCAATAAATTTAACCCACACTAATCTCTCTCTCTCTGAAAAGTTTTAAAAGGGTACCTTATATTTATTGCTTGTTCTTGAATCATTTGTGTATATTAGTCTTATTGTTCCTACCATAGTGTTAATTTTGTGAAAGTTGGGACAATGGTTTTTTTGTTTTGTTTTTTTTTGTTTTGTTTTTTGAGACAGAGTCTCGCACTGTCGCCCAGGCTGGAGTGCAGTGGTGCGATCTCGGCTCACTGCAACCTCTCCCTCCCAGGTTCAAGCAATTCTTGTGCCTCAGCCTTCCAAGTAGCTAGGATTACAGGTGCCAGCCACCACACCTGGCTAATTTTTGTATTTTAGTACAGATAGGATTTCACTATGTTGGCCAGGCTGGTCTGAAACTCCTGAGCTCTGATCCACCTGCCTTGGCCTCCCAAAGTGCTGGCATTACAGGTGTGAGCCACCGTGCCCGGCCGGGACTATGTTTTATATGTGTGTGCCGAACACTCTGAGAAGCAGCACAGACACTCATTTAGATGGGTTTTTGGGTAGTCTAAGTCAGTGCTTCTCGAATGATCTTTGATGAAGAACCAATTTTGGCGGGGGGGAAATATGTCATTGACTGATAAAGTCTGTTGATATTGAGGCAATATCAAATTACTATAAACGTTTCTTTTTTTTTTTTTTTTTTGAGATGGAGTCTCCCTCTGTCACCCAGGCTAGAGAGCAGTGGTGAGATCTTGGTTCACTGCAACCTCTGCCTCCTGGGTTCAAGCGATTCTCCTGCCTCAGCCTCCCAAGTAGCAGGGATTATAGGCGCGTGCCACCACACTCTGCTAATTTTTGTATTTTTAGTAGAGATGGAGTTTCACCATGTTGGTCAGGCTGGTCTCCAACTCCTGACCTCGTGATCCGCCTGCCTTGGCCTCCCCAAGTGCTGGGATTACAGATGTGAGCCACCGCACCCGGCCTACTATAAACGTTTCTAAACTCCTGTCAGTTTTTGTGCTATTTCATTGTGGATCAGTTACCAACAGTTTATGGACCACCAGTGCACTGAGAAGCATTGGCTTCCAGACAGACATATTAGCATTTGAAGATAATTCTGGGCTAGAAGTAAGAAGTAGTGATGTGGGAACAGAGATCTGTTTGGTAAGAATGGAATAATACATAGCAGCAAAAAGTAGAAGGCCTCTGTAGCTCAGCCTCTCTTAGGCTTTCTGTCCTGGAGGCAAAGAAAGAGGTTTACCAAGCAGACATTTCCACTGATCCGGGAGAAAGCCTGGCAGGCCACAATCCGGTTCTTCCATTGACAGCTGTTCAGCTCCACAGCAAGCATGGTGTGTATCAGGGTCTGAGGAAATGGAAGACTTGTATGGATATTCACAATCACTTTTAGAGATACTAGAACCTTGAAGTTACATTCTGAAATGGCATCCTGCATAATTAATGTCACCAGTGGGCTTACAAGAGATGGGGCATGTTTCCATCACAGCCAACTGACTCTGGGATCATAAATTGGGGAACAAAATACAAATTTAATAACTTAAACAGAAAACTGGGACCTTCCTTTCCTGACTTTAACTGTTTTTTTTTTTTTTTTTTTTTCTGAGAAGGTTGTCCCCCAGGCTGGAGTGCAGTGGCACAATCTCGGCTCACTGCAACCTCCGCCTCTCGGGTTCAAGTGATTCTGTTGCCTCAGCCTCCCAAGTAGCTGGGATTACAGGCGCCTGCCACCACGCCCGGTTAATTTTTGTATTTTTAGTAGAGGCGGGGTTTTACCATGTTGGTGCCAGGCTGGTCTTGAATTCCTGACCTCAGGTGATCTGCCTGCCTCGGCCTCCCAAAGTGCTGGGATTACAGGCGTGAGCCACCGTGCCCGGCCTTCTGTCTTTAACTGTTTTTACCCCTAAAATGATTTTTATATGCCTCAAGCTTATGACTTTCACATTTCTATTGAAAGTAACTAAACACAAATATAGGCCTCTGCAGTTTTCAATGGTAAACTTCTAGCAGAAGCAAATTCTACATGTCAGAACTCTTCTTGCATATGCAAATAGAGACCATTTGCAACCTAATTCTCACTTTTCTCTCAGCTAACTATTGTGACTTCCCTTTGTATACACCTCTACACCCAGGTTTACTCATGCTTATTCTACGTTTACTTATGCTTGAGATTGTCAACCCAACCGGCTGCATTTTATCTAATTAATTAATTGTGTAATTAATTTTTTGAGGCAGGGTCTTGCTCTGTCGCTCAGGCTGGAGTACAGTGGTGTGATCTCAGCTCGCTGCAGCCCCAACCTGCCAGGCTCAAGTGATCCTCCCACCTCAGCCTCTTGAGTAGCTAGGATTACAGGCACATACCACCATGCCTGACTAATTTTATTTCTTTTTTTGTAGAGACAGGGTCTCACTATATTGCCCAGGCTGGTCTTGAAATCCTGGACTCAAGGGATACTCCCACCTCAGCCTCCCAAAGTGCTGGGATTACAGGCGTGAGCGACCATGCCCAGCCCAGCTGCATTTTATTTTATTTGTTTGAGACAGAGTCTTGCTCTGTCACCTAGGCTGGAGTGTAGTGGCGTGATCTCAGCTCACTGCAACCTTCACCTCCCAGGCTGAAGTGATTTTCATGCCTCAGCCTCCCGAGTAGCTGGGACTACTCAGTGTGGTACCACTGCACCTGTCTAATTTTTTTATTTTTAGTAGAGATGAGGTTTCACCCATGTTGGCCAGTCTGGTCTCGAACTCCTGACCTCAAGTGATCCACCTGCCTCGGCCTCCCGAAGTGTTGGGATTACAGGCATAAGCCACTGCCCCGGCCCCAGCTGCATTTCAGATTGCTTACATTCACTGACCTCAAAGACCTAATTGCTCCCCAAAACTGTGTCTGACCCGGTAATGGACACATACTGTCTTCTCACTCAGATAGCTCAGGAGGATATAAGACTGTTCCTCAGTGTCCTCATTCTTCTTTGTAAACAGCTGGTGGAGGATCCTCTTAATCACAGGGTAAGTAGCAGTACCTTCCAGAGCCAAGCACTGAGCTGCAGCCCAGCTATCCACACTGTTACCTGCCACAGTTGGGTGAAAAAGAGTTCAGAATGGTGATGTGTTTTCCCCCTAGAGAACAGCCTTTGGATTGATACCCAAGGCTGCTACCCCACCTGATATCTCACTTCCTTGTGCCCCACTCAGTCTAGAAATACAATTTCTTATTTAAACCATATTGAGAAGAATCATATTGGCTGGGCACGGTGGCTAACACCTGTAGTCCTCACATTTTGGGAGGCCAAGGTGGGCGGATCACCTAAGGTCAGGAGTTCAAGACCAGCCTGGCCAACATGGTAAAACCCCATCTCTACTAAAAATACAAAAATCAGCCAGGCGTGGTGGCATGCGCCTGTAATCCCAGCTACTTGGGAAGCCGAGGCAGGAGAATTGCTTGAACCCAGGAGGCGGAGGTTGCAGTGTGAGCTGAGATCCCACCATTGCACTCCAGCCTGGGCAACGAGAGTGAAACTCTGTCTCAAAAAAAAAAAAAAAAAAAAAAAAAATTTAGTCCAGCTACCACTTGGTGGCAGTGTACCTGTTTTGTTAAAGTACCTAGAAAGAGCAAATTTTCTTTTTTTCCTTTTTTTTAGAGACAGGGTCTTGCTCTGTCACCCAGGTTGGAGTACAGTGGCACCATTGTGGCTTATTGCAGCTTCAACCCCCTGGGCTCAAGCTGACTCTGATAAGCATGTATATATAGGTCTGCCTCAGCCTCCTAGGTAGCTGGGTCTACAGGAGCACACCACCGCACCTGGCTAATTTTAAAATTTTTTATAGAGATGGGGTCTTGTTATGTTGCCCAGGCTGGTTTAGAACTCCTATGCTCAGGTGATCCTGTCGCCTTGGCCTCCCAAAGTGCTGGGATTACAGGTGTGAGCGACAGTGTCTGGTCCTAATTTTCAAATGGTCTAACATAAATCTAAACCCAATACAGCAGACATTGCAGAGCATCACAGTGGAGAGGAAAGGACTGGGAAAGCTGATAGTGAGATGTCTATCCCATATTTCCAGGTCAGAAGTAACAGGGAGTTACTCACCCTTCAGAAGGGCAGTCTGCATGATGTTCCGGGCAAGGGGATTATGTGACTGTATGGCATATTGGCATATTGCTGCTGCCATCCGCACATGGGCATTCTTGTCACAAAGAGCAGCCTCTAGGGCAGGCAGTAGAACCTCCGGCAAGTCCTGGATGGTCTTGTCTGTGATCAAAAGAGCCAGGTAAGAGAGTACTAGCCCCTTTGCTTTTCTCACACACAGCTTCCTTCCTACAGCCATGTGGTGGCCAACCTCAGTCCCAGCTGCAGTTGCTTAGTGCTATGTAATATAATTACAGTTTAGCTGAGCCCTTCAGATGGGCAGGATTTTCTGCTCAAGGTGTTAAAGCTCACCTGTGTGCTGGTATGCCAATTCCCAATCCTTTATCATCTGGCCTCTAAACAGCTATATTTAAGCCGAAGAAGAATGTTTCCAGCTAGGCTACAGTGAACTACACCATTAGTTTTAGTGATTAAAAGCAACCAATTTGCCCCATGAGCCCATATATATATATATATATATATATATATATATATATATATATATATATATATATATATTTATTTATTTTATATATTTTTTGAGACGGAGTCTTGTTCTGTCACCTGGGCTGGAGTGCAGTGGTGTGATCTCAGCTCACTGCAAGCTCCGCCTCCTGGGTTCACACCATTCTCCTGCCTCAGCCTCCCGAGTAGCTGGGACTACAGGCACCCAGCTAATTTTTAGTATTCTTAGTAGAGATGGGATTTCACCGTGTTAGCCAGGATGGTCTCGATCTCCTGACCTTGTGATCCACCTGCCTCAGCCTCCCAAAGTGCTGGGATTACAGACGTGTGCCACCGCCCCCAGCTGAGCCTTTATATTTGTAAGAACAATTATATTTAGGTAGTGCTTTATAATATAGTGTTTTTACATTATCTTGTTATCTTTCAACCTTGGTTGAATTAGGCAAGGTAGGTATCATTGTAGAGCTCACTAGGGAGTCTTTTTTGGTTCAACTAAACAGTAAGGTTCATAAGACTGTCATGGGCCATGCATGGCACCAGAAGAATATGGGACAGGAGCATAGTTTGTCAACAGGGCAGCAGCATCAGGCATCCCTGTTGGCTGGAGTTTTTTTGTTTTTGTTTTTGTTTTTTTTTTGAGATAGAGTTTTTGCTCTGTTGCCCAGGCTGGAGTACAATGGCACAATCTTGGCTCACTGCAACTTCTGCTTCCTGGGTTCAGGCGATTCTTCTGCCTCAGCCTTCCGAGTATCTGGGACTACAGGCACCTGTCACCACGCCTGGCTAATTTTTGTATTTTTGGTAGAGATGAGGTTTCACCATGTTGGCCAGGCTGGTCTTGAACCCTTGACTTCAGGTGATCCACCTGCCTTGGCCTTCCAAAGTGCTGGAATTACAAGTGTGAGCCACCACACCTGGCTTTGGCTGCAGTTCTTGAGGCTGTCTTGAGCATTCCACAGAGTCTTGGGGACAGCACAGGAGCATGTTGTTTATTCACTGGGTGAATTTATGCTTTACAGGAACTAATATCTCTTATAAAAACTCCATAGACACAATTCTAGGGTCCACAAAGGGCCTGCCTGTTATAAGTTACAGTATCCAGGGAGGCCCAAACTATGGTGTCCCTATCAAGTATTTATATTTCACTTATAGCTCTTCTCAGTCCCAATGTAATTTATCAAACAGGATTTATATCATAACCAATGTTGCCTATAAAGATAGTTCTTATCAGGTGTTTAGGGGAACAGGTGGGCATTTAACTGAAGTTCAAATTCTCAAGTAGGAAGGGGAAAGGTTTGTTATCCCTTTGTCTACCACTAGTCTCATTTTATAGATAGGTAATTTGAAGCTCAGAGAGGTTAGCTGACTGCCCAAGGAGTGGCACAGCTAAGCCCGTGAATCATATTTTAAGATTTTGTCAGGTGCGGTGGCTCATGCCTGTAATCCCAGCACTTTGGGAGGCTGAGGTGGGTGGATCACTTGAGGTCAGGAGTTCAAGACCAGCCTGGCCAACATGGTGAAACCCCATCTCTACTAAAAATACAAAAAAATGAGCTGGGCATGGTGGCACACGCCTGTATGTAGTCCCAGCTACTCGGGAGACTAGGGCAGGAGAATTGCTTGAACCTGGGAGGTGGAGGTTGCAGTGAGCAGAGATCGCGCCACTGCACTCCAGCCTGGGTGACAGAGCAAGACTCTGTCTCAAAAATAAATAAATAAATAAATAAATAAATAAATAAATAAATAAATAAAATAAAATAAAAAAGAATGGGCTCTTGGCTGGGCACAGTGGCTCACGCCTGTAATCCCAGCAGTTTGGGAGGTTAAGGTGGGAGGATTACTTGAGGCCAGGAGTTCAAGACTAGCCTGGTCAACATAGCAAGACACAGTCTCTACCAAAAACAAAAACAAAAAAGAATGGGATCTTCAAGGTGGGAAATGTTAACTTCTCTGCAGGCCACTGAGCAAACAAAAGGTGATGAAATGTAGTTCAAAAATTACTGGACTAGAAGTCTGGAATTTTAATCTCGTCTCTATTGCTGATAAGCATGTATATATAGGCCAGTCTCTAAGTCTTGGTTTCCACATTTGTAAAATGATCTCAGATAAGCCCTGGGTCCCTACCAGTTCAGATGTTCCATGGCTTTATGAGTTGCTTATGTTCTCAAGCAGTTCAGCTTTGGCTCTCACCTGAGTCTCTCTGGCTGGTGGCAATCCGGGGCCGTTCCAAAGCAGCTGTGGCACATGTGGTGATAGCTTTGATCCGAACGTCATCATGCAGGTCTCCCAAGCTCTGAAGCAGGTTCTCTACTGTCTCATGGTGCCACTCTATGACTGAGCCGCAGTGAGGGAAATGAAAAGAGAACCACCTGGTTAGGGTTAGATATTGTGCTGCAGGCAGGTGACAAGAAGTCTGCCCTTCACCCAGAATAATTCAAGCAAAACATTAGCTCAGAAGAATAAAGGGCCCAGAGATGGGGTCTTTAGGGAGTTATTTCTCTGATGATCCATGTACCCTCACAAGTAAGTTCCCAGACAAAACTTCTCCCAACCCCATCGTATCTATCTCTCTTTCTTTAAATCACTTTTCGTTGTAACCATCTGGGAAATAAAAGTGACAATAAAACAAAGTAGTTAAGAGTACTTTGTTTTCAGACATACCTGGTTTGGGATCACAGTTATTAGCTGTGTGACTGTGGATAAGTTACTTAACCCTGAGCCTGAGATTTCTTATTTGTAATACAGGCATAATACTAGAACCCACATATTGAGTTATTCTTACTGTTAAATGAGTTAACTAGACAAAGTGTTTAGCAAAATGCCTGGCAAGATAATGAAGGTTCAATAAATGTTAACTATTGTGGTTTTCATTAGGTTCTTTGTCTTTGAGGGCACTTCCATTTGGCTTTCAACATCTTCCTCATTTTAGTTGCTAAATACTCTTTTGGCAGGTATCAGACTTTTATTTCAAAGCTCCTATTATCTGTAGGTGTTTCCTTCAGTCTTTTTTGTTATTGTTTATCTGATCCAGTTTACCTAATGGATTGCCTCTCTTTTTCCTGCACTAACTAAGCTTGTCTATCATGTTCTGAAAGCCAGCAGCTATTGAGTTCTCAAATACCATAGCTTTCAACAGTCCTTGCCAGGCCATTACTTTGTCCCAGGCACTCAGACTTCTACTCTCCTATCTTTGAAGGCAAAGTAGGTATAGGATAGCCCCAACTCTACGAATGAATTTTGGAGAGGGGTTGCTGATACCATAGTCAACTATGACATGGACAATGGTTGGACAGCATATTTTGTTCTTCCCTTCATACATCATTTGCTGAGCATAAAGTTTGGAAAACAATAAGATAGGGTCGCCTGGGTGCAGTGGCTTATGCTTGTAATCCCAGCACTTTGGGAGGCCAAGGCGGGGAGATCACCTGAAGTCAGGAGTTCGAGACCAGCCTGGCCAACATGGTGAAACCGTGTCTCTACTAAAAACACAAAAATTAGCCAGACATCATGGCACATGCCTATAGTCCCAGCTACTTGGGAGGCTGAGGCAGGAGAATCGCTTGAACCTGGGAGGTAGAGGTTGCAGTGAGCCCAAATCAAGTGCCATGGCACTCCGGCCTGGGCAACAGAGTGAAATTCCATCTCAGAAAAAGAAAAAAGGGCTGGCGCGGTGGCCAAGGCGGGCAGATCACCTGAGGTCAGGAGTTTGAGACCACTCTGGCCAACATGGTGAAACCCCATCTCTACCAAAGATACAAAAAGTTAACCAAGTGTGGTGGCGGGTGCCTGTAATCCTAGCTACTCAGGAGGCTGAGGCAGGAGAATTACTTGAAACCAGGAAGCAGAGGTTGCAGTAAGCTGAGATCCCACCGTTGCACTCCAGCCAAGGCAACAAGAGCGAAACTACGTCTCCAAAAAAAAAAAAAAAAAAAAAAAAAAAAATGGTCTCTGCCTCTGAAGAGTCTGCAGTGTAATAATGAGTTTCCACAAATTACTGAAGTAATACCCATCCATGCAAAAAGCACCCAGATATATGTTAACTGAAGTTCATCTAACACCCAATGTGTGAAAGGCTCTTGTCTAGCCTTAATGAGGCAACCAGATTTTTACATTTCACAAAGGAGGGATGGATTTTTCAAAGACTGAGAAAGCCTAGTCCCAGATGAGAACCACTTCTCACAAACGTACAGTATCACAGGACCTCCCTTCACTCACTCAGAGCCCAGGCAGTCTTCCATTCCTTCAGCATCCTCCGCAGGACCACCAGTTCCCAGGTCACATCCTCCTGCAGTGATTTTGCCTGCTTCTTCAATCTCCTGGTCTTAATAGGCACATCCTTCTCACCCACCTGCAGCAGCATATCCTTGGCGGGGGTGGGCAAAGCAGTCCAGCGCAGGGCTCCTTGCACAGGTCTGTAAGCTGTGCAACGTGGCAGTGTGAGGTCTTTTCACCCCACTGCCTTAGGCCCTGCCACACAGTGGCCCCAGCTTGCATCCCATTCCTATTCCTGACTAATACCAAAGCAAAACAAAACCCTCAAGAGTGAATTTCCCCATGATTATATGGGGAACTGAGTACATGTACACAGGGAATTATGGAAAGTCCTGACTAGACATGGTAAGCCATGATGATGATGGGGGTGAGAGATTTGTGGGGGGAAATTGAGATATCTACAAACCTTTCTATAAGTTTAAAGGTTATCTTTAGGAACCTAAATCTTTAGGAACATAAATATGTTTATATGTAACGAGATTTGCTCATAATATTTGATACGTTGCAATTTAGTGTCATTGGCCATTATTTCTAAAGTATTAAGTTTTCCTTTTAATGTTTTTAATTTGGGGAGAATAATAGTGCTATAAGCTGTGAAATTTTAAAGATTTTAACATCTCTGAGTTTTTCCTCAAGACAACAGAAATTTGAGAACAGAAGAAGCCGTAAATATTAGATATAGTTAGAAAAGCTATAGTTGGCCGGGTACGGTGGCTTTTGCCTGTAATCCCAGTACTTTGGGAGGCCGAGGCGAGCAGATCACGAGGTCAGGAGATCGAGACCATCCTGGCTAACACGGTGAAAACCCCGTCTCTACTAAAATACAAAAAATTGGCCGGGCATGGTGGCATGTGCTTGTAGTCTCAGCTACTTGAGAGGCTGAGGCAGGAGAATCACTTGAACCTGAGAGGCGGAGGTTGCAGTGAGCTGAGATTGCACCACTGCATTCCAGCCTGGACGACAGAGTGAGACTCCGTTCTCAAAAAAAAAAAACAAAAAAAAAACTATAGTTATATTTTCTGAACTTAATGTTTTTCATGGTGTCAAATTTAGAAAGCCTCTTTCTCAGAAAAAAAGCTCTATGGAGAAGGGGAAGGGAAAAATGATAAAAACATTTCCAGATGTACTAAATTCATTATTCACACTGCCTATTAGTCTCATGTTCTAATCAGTCACTATCAGCCATTTCTGTTTTTTTCCAAGATTTCATTCTGACTCTTAACACCTTTAGATTTGCTCTGAATCAATTCTTTCCTTTGAGCAAGGAAGACATAACATTTCTTTCTTCTAATGTAAAAAGAGTCCTGTGAGGCGGGGTGCAGTGGCTCATGCCTGTAATCCCAGCACTTTGGGAGGCCAAAGCGGGTGGATCACTTGAGGTCACAAGTTCGAGACCAGCCTGACCAACATGGTGAAACCCTGTCTCTACTAAAAATACAAAAATTTGCTAGGCGTGGTGGTGGGCGCCTGTAATCCCAGCTACTCGGGATGCTGAAGCAGAAGAATCACTTGAACTGGGGAGGCGGAGGTTGTAGTGAGCTGAGATCGCGCTCCAACCTGGGTGACAAAGCGAGACTCCATCTCAAAAAAAAAAAAAAAAAAAAAAAAAAAGAGTCCTGTGAGACTCCAGGGCAGTTTAGCAAAGATGCCCATACAATGCATCTCCTCCAAATGGTCCCCACCAGCTTGGACGTGCTGGGGGACTCAGCCACTCTGCTGAGGCCTCCCTCCTTTCTGGGGTAGGGTGTGTGCAACTAGGAGCTGTGGAACCACCTCTGACAGGCCAGCTCACACTTTGCCATGTGACGCTCCCCGACTTCTCTCAGGCGATTTGAAATCCCTCCTGAAGAGATGAGAAGTAGCTGAATTAACCCCATTTCTCCTATATCCCTCTGCTCAAGGAGTTAAAATGGATTTGCGGTGAGCAAGTCTTAGATCTCTGATATTTAACCTCATAGGAATAAAAAATACAACTGCCAACTTTTACTTTGGTTCCAGTCCTTTGGGTTATAGCTGGATAGAAACACATCCACTAGCCATCTTCCACATCAACAGTCATCAAAAAAAAAAAAAAAAAAAAAAAAAAGAGTCCTGTGAGACTCCAGGGCAGTTTAGCAAAGATGCCCATACAATGCATCTCCTCCAAATGGTCCCCACCAGCTTGGACGTGCTGGGGGACTCAGCCACTCTGCTGAGGCCTCCCTCCTTTCTGGGGTAGGGTGTGTGCAACTAGGAGCTGTGGAACCACCTCTGACAGGCCAGCTCACACTTTGCCATGTGACGCTCCCCGACTTCTCTCAGGCGATTTGAAATCCCTCCTGAAGAGATGAGAAGTAGCTGAATTAACCCCATTTCTCCTATATCCCTCTGCTCAAGGAGTTAAAATGGATTTGCGGTGAGCAAGTCTTAGATCTCTGATATTTAACCTCATAGGAATAAAAAATACAACTGCCAACTTTTACTTTGGTTCCAGTCCTTTGGGTTATAGCTGGATAGAAACACATCCACTAGCCATCTTCCACATCAACAGTCATCTAAAGCTGGGGTCCCTAACCCCCAGGCCATGGGCCTGTACCAGTTCATGGCCTGTTAGGAACCGGGCCACCACAACAGGATGTGAGTGGTGGGTGGGCAAGCATTACCAGTGAGCTCTGCCTCCTGTCAGATCAGCAGTGGCATTAGAGTCACGTAGCATGAACCTTACTGTGAACTGCACATGTGAGGGGTCTAGGCTGCGCACCCTTTATGATAATCTAATGCCTGATGATCTGAGGTGGAACCATTTCATCCTCAAACCATCCCCACCCCGCTGGTCTGTGGAAAAATTATCTTCCACGAAACCGGTCCCTGGTGCCAAAAAGGTTGAGGACTGCCGATCTAAAGGGAGCACACAAAGTAATGACTCTTGGCAGGGTACAGTGGCTCATGCCTATAATCCCAGCACTTTGTTTGGGAGGCTAAGGTGGGAGGACCCCTTGTGGCCAGGAGTTCGAGACCAGTCTGGGCAACATAGTGAGACCCTATCTCTAAAAAAGTTAAAAATTAGCTGAGTGTAGGGTGCACACCTGTGGCCCTGATCCTCCTGCATCAGCCTCGCGAGTGGCTGGGACTCCAGGTGCGTGCCACCATGCCCAACTAAGTTTTGTATTTTTTTGTAGAGACGGGGTCTCACCTTGTTGCCTAGACTAGTCTGAAACTGCTAGGCTCAAGCGATCTGCCTGCCTCATCAAATTGTATGGTTTAACAGGATTAATTTTATAGTATGTAAATTCAAGCTCAATAAAGCTGTTATTGAAAAAGAATCCTCTGGCTGGGAGAGTGGCTCATGCCTGTAGTTCCAACACTTTGGGAGTCTGAAGAGGGTGCATCACTTGAGCCCAGAAGTTTGAGACCAGCCTGGGCAACACAGCAAGACCTTGTCTTTACAAAAATTAGCTGGGTATAGTGGTGTGCACCTGTAGTTCCAGCTACTCGGGAGAGTGAGGTGGAAGGATTGCTTGAGCTCAGGAAGGTAAAGGCTGCAGTGAGCCATGATTGTACCACTGTGCTCAGCCTGGGAAACAGAGTGAGACCCTGTCAAAAAAAAAAAAAAAAGAAGAAGAAAAGAGAGAGAGGGAAGGGGAGGGGAAGGGGGAAGAGAGGAAAGGGAGACATGAAGGAAGGAAAGGGAGAAGGAAAGGAAGGAAAAAAAGGAAGGGAGGAAGGAGAAAAGAAAAAGAGGCTGGACACGGTGGCTCACGCCTGTAATCCCAGCACTTTGGGAGGCCGAGGTGGACAGATCACGAGGTCAAGAGATCAAGACCATCCTGGCCAACATGGTGAACCCCGTCTCTACTAAAAATACAAAAATTAGCTGGGTGTGGTGGCGCGCACCTGTAGTCCCAGCTACTCGTGAGGCAGAGGCAGGAGAATCACTTGAACCCAGGAGGCGGAGGTTGCAGTGAGCCGAGATCACGCCACCGCACTCCAGCCTGGGCGACAGAGCGAGACTTTATCTCAAAAACAAAGCCAGGTTGTGTGGAAATCCTGTGGCTGTCCACAGCTGTCTGGCGGGTGCCTCCACAGCAGGCACAGAATGTGCCTGTGCCTCCAAGGATAGACTGAGCCCAGGGAAGGACTTCTTGCCAAGTGGATGCAAAGGCACAACTAGCAGGCCAGGCAACCCTGTCAGCCAGGTGTGGAGGCATGCACCTGTGATTCCAGCTACCCTGGAGGCTGAGGCAGGGGAATTGCTTGAACCAGGAAGATGGAGGTTGCAGTGAGCAGAGATCACGCCACTGCACTCCAGCCTGGGTGACAGAGCAAGACTCTGTCTCCAAAAAAAGAAAAAAAAAAAAAAGGAATGGGTGACAACTGCTGTTAGTTTCTGCACACCACTGGGCCCATCTGAACAGTAATCCTACAAAGAGTCATGGGAAATAGAGTCTTGTGGAAGATGTGCACATTTTGTTTCATAAGCTAATTTCTTGGTCACCTTCTTTCCCTCTTTGTCTTACAGAGTGAAGAATGATGAACTTGTGAAAGTTCAGGTATGGGTGGGCTGAGTGTGGAGTGGGAGGGTAGAGCCAGCCCAAGGGAAAAGGGCAGAATGCTGGGTCAGGAGTTTGATGCACTTTCCCTGTTAGGTGCACTTTCCCTGTTAGCATTGAGATAGGAGCTGCCTTATTGGTAACTAGTGGCCCTAAACCACTTGGTTATACCTAAGTTATATCAGATCTCAAGTGATTGTATGTTCCTGTGAGGCTCTTCCTAGTTATAGTTAGTATTTTATAATTTTGTGAGATTATTTTTAGTACGTAGAAAGGGGATTGCCTAGATGCTAATGGTGCTTCAGCCCATGAACTGGGAGCTCTAGCACATGAATAGTGGGTAATGATGGGAAGTAGCCACATTCCCGTTATTAACCCCTGCCTTCCCTGTTAGCTTCCTGCTTACATGCTTCAGGAATTGCCTGGGCACTCCACTTTTCTGGAGTTTCAGGGAAGACCTTAGATAGCTGCTTGTTGTACCGATTTAGGTTTTCCAGGACAATCTGGTCTCTCTTTGCACCAATCTGGTGGATGATCTGGACTTCATCTGTGAACAGACAAAGAAACAATGAGTCCCCTATAACCTCCCTATTTCCTTTCTCCCTGGGTTCCTAATCACCAGGATCAGACCCAACTTCCTTTTGCCCTAATCTAAGCCCCTAGGATCCATGACTGCCATACTCTGGGGCATCCCTTGAAGGTGACCATTGCTTAGAAATATCACAGTGATAAATCACTATAGTGTCTGTGGGGGAAAAAAAAAAGAAAAAGGAAATGTCATAGCTAGTCACCTCATTAGAGGCCTGGGAGCCAAGGATGGTGATTTCCTTCCTAAGGCAGAACCTATGGCCGGGTGTGGTGGCTCACACCTGTAATCTCAGCACTTTGGGAGGCCGAGGTGGGTGGATCACATCATCAGGAGTTCGAGACCAGCCTGGGCAACACTGTAAGACCCCCGTCTCTACAAAAAATACAAAAATTAGCTGGGTACAGCTACTCGGGAGGCTGAGGCAGGAGAATCAGTTGAGCCTGGGAGGTGGAGGTTGCAGTGAAGATAGCACCACTGCACTCCAGCCTAGGCAATGGGAGTGAAACCATTTCAAAAATAAGAAAAGAACCGGCTGGGCACCATGGCTCACGCCTGTAATCCCAGCACTTTGGGAGGCTAAGGAGGGCGGATCACAAGGTCAAGAGATTGTGACCATCCTGGCCAACATGGTGAAACCCTGTCTCTACTAGAAATACAAAAATTAGCTGGGCGTGGTGATGCGCGCCTATAATCCCAGCTATTTGGGAGGTGGAGGCAGAGGTTGCAGTGAGCCAAGATTGTGTCACTGCACTCCAGCCTGGCGACAGAGCAAGACTCCGTCTCAATAGAAAAGAAAACAAAAGAAAAGAACCTATGTAACCACTTAGAGGCCTTATCCCTTATAAAAAGCTAGATACTAAAAAAGAGGCACCTAATTAATCTCATCAGTCATGAATACTTAGAGTAATTTTGTTAAACACTTTGAGAAGACTTTCAGCTGCAGCAGTTTAGGAACAAGATGGGGCTTGGGAAGAAGAAACAGCTTGGAACACGAAGACCTAGATTGAGTATCCTGGAAGCCCAGGCATCTAAGGGACAGCAGTAGGGACAGGGAAGGTGGCAAACATTTACTGAACACCTTAAACAGACATTGAGCAAGAAGCATTACAGATGCTTTCTCATCTACTCTACTCAAAGTGCATTTTTGTTAACATCACTTCACAAATAAGGTACTTGTGGCTCAGAGGAATTATATAATTTACTGAAGGTTACTAAAAAAATACTGAGCCAGGATTTAAACCCAAATGTGCCTGACTCCAAAGCCCTGATTTTTTCCAACATAGCACCTTGGTGGGAGAATATCTCGAAGTGGGAGAATATCTCGAAGTGAGAGAAGGGAGAAGGGTAGATAGAGAAGAGATGGATTGTTCCCAAAGTCTTGCCAACTTTACAGTTCCACCCTTCATTGCCTCTTTAGTAAGATAGAGGGATAGAGAAAGCGGGGAGAGAGAGCAGTTCCCTCCCTATTAGTTATCACTCCCCGACCCAACTCCTGTGCTAGTGTGGGTGCTGGGTCATGAACATGAAAACCTGGGTCATCCAGGGCCTCTTGTCCATACCCACAACTGTTTCCAGCCCCCAGCAATCTTCCACCTTCCTGGCCCATGTCCCCGTGTGCCCCTACCACAGGGGCCCAGCTCTATTACCAAAGTAAATCTCCTGTTCAAAGGTGTTGTCTGTGGAGTAGGCAAACTTTCCAGCTCGGGGAGTCACCTGGCGAAAGTAGCTCTGGGTTTGGGGCTGGGAGAGGCTCGTCTTTTCATGGATATCCTCAGTGCTCTTGTTGCCAGGCATGATCTCAACTGTCTCTGCTTGTTGGAAGTAACTGGGCAATCTTGGCAGGGGTGAGAAAGGAGGGAAAAGGGGGAAAGAGTAGGAGGTGGATCCCCCTTTCCATTAAATCCACAGCTCGTTCCCTTTCCTCTTTAAGCTCAGCTCCTATACACGTGAGCATTGCAGAACACCAATGTTTAACTTTTAGCCTTGTCCCCATGGTGCCAGTTGAATGTGGAGCTGCCAGAAGGGCCTGTCTACAGCTGTCCTGCCTGGCTACTAAAGGATCCATGCCTTCTGCAGCCACCAAGCAGCAGGGCAGAGTGGCGGTGCTCCAGCATAACCCTTTTTTAACATTCGTACTCTTAGAGGCGGCATGGCCTTGGGGAAGGGATCCCACCTCCTTCGTCATCTCACTCTGTCTATTCTGTGTGTGGTTATTTAATGTCCATCCACCTGGTGGTGGACAGGCTGTAAGCTCCTTAAAGGTACATATCTGTGTCTGTTGCTTTTACATTGTATTCCCAGCACTTTGCAGAGTGCCTGGAAAGTAGCAAGAACATAATTTATATTTGTCCAATAAATGAATAAATAAATGGATTTCCACTGATTTTTAGTTCACTCTTGGAAATCAGGGATAGTGTAATAGCTCCAGTCTTCCCTCTAGCTATAAATGAGATAGAAGCAATCTAAGAAACATGTAGTCATCTTCTTCTCTCAGGTTGTCTGGTTCTCTGTCCTGCAGCTAGTCAGTTTTTGAGTCAGTGACACACTGGTTCCTTATTCAGAGTAAGGCAGGACCAAACCTCGGTGCTATGAGGTTCCTGCCTTCCTCACTCCACCAAGGATACATTTCTGGGAGCACCTGGTTGGTAACTACACCAGCAGTCTGATGGCAAAGTCTGCTGGAGAAGGTTGAGAACCAATCCCTTTAAGAGCAGTGGTTCCCAGCTGGGAATGACTTTGTTCCTCTTGGAGACATCTGGCAGTGTCTGAGACATCTTTGGTTTTCACAGCTAGGAGTTTGTGCTCTGGTGGGTATGAGCCAGGGATGCTGCTTGCATCCCATAATGAACAGGGCAGCTCCCACAACAAAAATTATCCAACCCAGAATGTCAGCAGTGCAAATTGAGAAACCTTACTTTGCAGAGCTCTCAGAGAGCAGGCCGGTGGTGGAGAACATGAAGTTGATGGGAGAGTGCATTCTGAAATCGGGAGTGTGAGTCCACCTGGGAGTCCCTAAAGGGGAGTCAGGGATTATCAAAGGTGCACTTGAGGCCCTGGCCAGTATACCTGTAGTAAACGGGAAGCAGCAGTTCTGGCTTCTTCTTTTCCTGTGGGGGCAGGATGACACTTTGATCCTCAAACTCTGCTGTCTCTTCTGCCTCCAGCTGTTTCAGGAGCTCCAGGTCACTGGCAGAGGTAAGCTCATCCCGAATGTGACTCCAGTCGTACTGCTGGCGCAGGAAGCTCTGCCACTTGTTGGGGGATGCCCCAGGCCTTCGAGGACGCTTGCTCTGGATCCATCGGGCTGTGCGCTCGTTCAGCTTTTCCAGCACAGTGGCCTCCCACGCTCTGGCCTCCTTCTCAGGAGGCAGAAGCCAGGCTTCTCTTTCCTCCAGGTTCACATCTAGAGAAGGTGGCCGACCCAGCATATCTGGATGCATGCAGGGATGATGGATGAGAGGGCGGGGTGCTTCCCGGACGGTGCTGGCTGGCTTTGATTTCTTCAGCTTCTTTTCGGGATTGGCAGAGCTTTCTGTCTTCACAGCCAGGGAGGTGTCTCCTGTTAAGGGACTTGAGGAACCCAGGAACTTGAAGCTAACAGGTTTCTGAGGCCGGGCCTTCCTGATCTGGGGAGTATGGATGATGTCATTGGTATTGTAGAGGTGGTCAAAGCTGTACTGGCTATAAGGAATGCTGGGCAGGCCTCGCTGCCACACCACCTCCTGAGAGAAGGTAAGGTTTGCAGCAGCCATTTTCAAATATTGGCTCTTGCGGTGTAGACGGTACTGTGAGCTGAAGAAGACCATAGGCACACTGGAGACAGAGGCACACTCCTCCTTGCCTTTCAATTTTGAGTAGTTTAAAATCATGCCCCATCCCAGTCGTGGGGGCAGTGACTGATAGAAGCAATGGGGGAGAAAGGTCTTTCCCTTCTGGGTCCTGGTCATACCGCGTCCCAGCAAATGCTTCCTTCCACACTGCCTGGCCTAGAGGAAAGGCCTGGAGATGAGACCTGGCACCTGTTAAGGGAATGGGAGGAACTGATGAGAACTCTAGAGCAGCAGAAATTGGTAGCCCATAGCAGTTCAGAAAGAGAATAACTTGAAAAACAGATGGAAAGGGGGTGGGGAAGAGCCATGTGAGTTAGAAGAACAAAAGAAGAAAATGGTGCAACATCCTAAATATTTCATGTATCAGACCCGTGTTTTTGGTTCTTATACTTGTTCCCAAAGCTCAGACCCTCATCTCCGTGTGAGGGATGACTGCTTTTCAGCAGTATCCCATGCTTCCAGTTTGTCTTTAAATGTTGCTTTCTTTCATTCAAAAGGCTTATAGTGTAAAGTTCAGACTATTCAGCATGGCATTCAGGGTTCTCCATGAGTTTGGCCTCAGTTTATGACTTTGTCCTGGCATGTAACCTCTGCTTGAGCCAGTCCAGTCTCCTGGCTGTTCTCTGAGTATCCTCTCTCCACATAATGAAGCTTCCTTCTGTGTCCTCTACATGAAATGGCCTTTCGTACTTGACACAAATTCTATCCAATTTCCAGGCCCAGCTCAATTTGTGCTGCTCCATAACTCTTTCTTGACCTATCCAGGCCACCAGGTCATACCCAAGTTTATAAATTCCTCCTGGTCTGTACCACTTACTTTAACTGTTAATCCTATGATACCTCGCATTGTTAAATATTTGAGACTCTAATTCCATTGCCCAGTGACCATGTCTCCCATTTCTTCTGTCTTTCAGAGTCATCCAGCACACCTATTGCTACATAGTTTTTATTGTTAAAATATTTAATAGCTGTAGGCCGGGCGCAGTGGCTCACGCCTGTAATCCCAGCACTTTGGGAGGCCGAGGTGGGTGGGTCACCTGAGGTCTGGAGTTTGAGACCAGCCTGGCCAACATGGTGAAATCCCATCTCTACTAAAAATACAAAAAATTAGCCAGGCGCGGTGGCATGTGCCTGTAATCCCAGCTACTTGGGAGATTGAGGCAGGAGAATTGCTTGAACCCAGGGTGGGGGAGATTGCAGTGAGCCAAGATCATGCCATTGCACACCAGCCTGGGCAACAAGAGCAAAACTCCGTCTCAAAAAAAAAAAAAAAAAATATATATATATATATATATATATATTATAGCTGTAACGTATTTTATCAAATAGGTAAATGGTTTTGACTCTTCATGAATTATTGGATGGGTTGTTTCCAGATTTTAGCTAGCATGGCAAACACTGTAGATAACAAATGCTTAGATTTAATGTTAGTTTAGTTTTGTTTTGTTTTCCTTTTGAAGCATTCCCTTGGCCTAATAATGATAGTTTTGGAATAACCTTGCTGAGGATTTTACGTAGGGAAGATATTATGATCTTCCTTTCCTATTTTAAGAAGCTGAGGTTCAGAGAGGTAGGTAAATTGCTTCAGATCACATAGCCCGTAAGCAGAGGAGTCAGGTTTCAAATCTAGCCTACTAGATCACAACTCTGGAGCACTTAACCTCCGTGCCACACTGGCCTTGGCCCAAGCACCACTCCCTACCACTCACTTTGTTGGCCTTGCCTCTCCAAGGAACAGGTAGGCCTCCTTATGTGTAAGGATGAAGGAGAGACCATTATTCCATATGTTTCTATCCTGCTAGTGTCAACTCCTGCCCGGTGTCCAAGGTGCCCATGCAGACCAGATCTGACTTGTTTCTCTTTACTCCTTAACACCCAGCACATAGCCTCTCTCCCTAGGGCATGATTTCTCTTACTGTCTTCCATGTGTAAAAGTGACCGTATTGTATTTCTTTCTGTTAAGGGCAAGTTCTTTTTTGTGTGTTTTTTTTCTTTTGTTTTGTTTTTTTGAGACAGGGTCTTGTTCTGTCGCCCAGGCTGGAGTGCAGCACTGGCACGATCATAGCTCACTGCAGCCTCAACCTCCTGGGCCCAAGTAATCCTCCTACTTCAGCCTCCCAAGTAGCTGGGACTACAGGTGCATGCGCCACCACACCCAGCTATCTGTTTTTTATTTTTAATAGAGATGGGGTCTCACTATGTTGCCCAGGCTGGTCTCAAACTCCTGGGGTCAACAATCTGCCTGCCTTGGCTTCTCAAAGCGTTGGGATTACAGGTGTGAGCTACAGCACTCAGCAAAGGCTCAACTTTCATCTAGATGCCATTAGGCCAGAATCAATAACCTCCCTCAAATTACGTGACACATGATTAATATGCTATCACTCCAGGACTTTTTGCACATAAGGCTAAATGTAATTGCTTCATCTCTTCACAACCATGAAGGCAACGTCTTCATGAAGGCAAGTTAAGAGAAAGAGGGTGGTCACAAGATGATGTTTTCTCCTGAAACAGTGGCTACTCCCACTGGCTGAAAATAGAAAGGCTAGAGCAAGACGGCCAAACAGACCCCTCCAGCGATTGTCTCCATGCAGGAACACCAAACTGAACAACTGTCCCCACAAGGAAAGCACCTTTAGGCCGGATGCGGTGGCTCACGTCAGTAATCCCAGAACTTTGGGAGGCTAAATTGGGCAAATCACTTGAAGTCAAGAGTTCAAGACTGGCCTGGCCAACATGGAGAAACCCCATCTCTACTAAAAATACAAAAATTAGCTGGGCGTGGTGGTGGGGGCCTATAATCCCAGCTACTTGGGAGGCTGAGGCAGAAGAATTGCTTGAACCTGGGAAGCAGAGGTTGCAGTGAGACGAAATGGTGCCACTGCGCTCCAGCCTGGGTGACAGAGTGAGACTCCTTATTTAAAAAAAAAAAAAAAGCATCTTCATAAGAAACAAAAAATCAGGTGAGTGATCACAGTACCTGGTTTTCACATCGTATCAAGAAGAGGCACTGAAGAGGGTGGGAAAGACGGTCCTGCATCGCCTATGCCCCCCTCCCTCACCTCTGGCACAACAGCTTGGAGAGAGAATCTGTGCATGTGGTGGAGCGAGAGGAGTGTGGGATTTTGCATTGGAACTCACTGCTGCCCTGTCACAGCACAGCACTACACTGAGCAGAATTCTGCTGGCACCCACAGAGGACACATTTAGATCAGCTCTGGGCCAGAGGAGAATCCTCAGGTAGAGTGGGACAGACCTGAGTCCCAGCTGGTTCTGCCACCAGCTGACCAAAGTGGCCTGGGGCCCTGAATACATATGAGTGACAGTCAGGTCACAAGGACTATATTCCTTAGGCAAACCCTGGAGATGCACTGGTCATGGAGGCAGTGGACTTTGGGTGTGTGTGACCGCGTGTGACACCAACTGTGGTGAACAAGGGAGTGCCTGCATCATTCCTCCCCCAACTCCAGACAGGGCAGCTCAGGGAGAGACTCCTACTTGGGGAAAGGAGAGGGAAGAGTACTCAAGTTGCAAGACAAAGTCCAGAAGACTTTGAGTAGCAGCTCAGCCACAGGAAAATAAAGCACCAGGCAGAATCCTGAGGCTCCTGATTCCAGGCCTTTGCTCCTAAGCTACATTTCCAGACCTACCCTGCGCCAGAAGGGAATCCACTGCTCTGATGGGTCAGATTTATCCTGGCAGGATTCCCCACCTGCTGACTAAAGTGCCCTTGGGCTTTGAGTAAATATCAGTGGTAGCTAAGCAGTTCTGGCCACAGGCCTTGGGCAGGATCCAATACTGTACTGGTCTGCAAAGCTTCAGGTGTGACCCAGTGCACTGCCATCTGTGGTGGCCATGGGAGTGCTCATGTCACCCTTCCCCCCAACTCCAGACAGCCCAGTGGGGAGAGAGATTCCTGACTGGGGGAAAGAGAAGAGACAAAGTGAGAGATGTTGCCTGGGTAACCGGGGAATTTTCCCTTATCTTACCCAAGGCCACCAAAGATACAGGAGTATCCAGGAGTTGGCAACAGTTGCAGGGGTCATAGGCTTAGGGCACCCCCTGGTATACATCAGCTGCAGAGACCGTAGGCTTAAGTCACAGCACTTAATCCCCTTTGAATATATAGAAAGCCTTCTCAAGGAGGATGGGTACAAATAAGTCCAGACTGTAAAGACTTGGAATAAATACCTAACTCTTCAATGTCCAGACATTGATGACCATCCACAAGCATCAAGAACATCCAGGAAAACATTATTTCACCAAATGGACTAAATAAGGCACCAGTGACCAATCCAGGAGTGACAGAGATATGTGACCTTTCCAGACAGGGAATTCAAAATAGTAGTCTTGAAGAAGCTCAAACTTCGAGATAACACCGAGAAGAAATTCAGAATTCTATCAGAAATTTCAAAAAGAGATTGAAATAACAAAAATCAAGCAGAAAGGCTGCTCTGCCTATGGAGTAGCCATTCTTTTGTTTCTTTACTTCTCTAATAAACTTGCTTTCACTTCGCAAAAGAAAAAAAATCAAGCATCACTTCTAGAGCTGAAAAATTAAGTTGACTAAAAAATGCATTGGAGTCTCTCAACAGCAGAATTGGTCAAGCAGAAGAAAGAATTGGTGAGCTTGAAGACAGGTTATATGAAAATACACAGTCAGGGCCAGGCAGGATGGCTCATGCCTGTAATCCTAGCACTTTGGGAGGCCAAGGCAGGTGGATCACCTGAGATCAGGGGTTCGAGACCAGCCCGGCCAACATGGCGAAACCCCATCTCTACTACAAATACAAAAAATTAGCCAGTCATGGTGGCAGGTGCCTGTAATCCCAGCTACTTGGGAGGCTGAGGCAGGAGAGTTCCTTGAACCTGACAGGCAGAGGTTGCCACCGTACTCCAGCCTGGGTAACAGGGGCAAAACTCCATCTCAAAAAAAAAAAAAAAAAAAAAAAAGGAGTGATTTAGGATGTCCCCAGATAAATGCCCTTTAGCCTGTGACGTAAAGAATCTTTAGTTACAATGCAAACATCCCAGAAAGAATACCATATTACCATTATCAATTATTAGAAATTCTTAAGGAGGCTATGCGCGGTGGCTCATGCCTGTAATCCCAACACTTTGGGAGGCTGAGGTGGGCAGATCACCTGAGGTCAGGAGTTTGAAATCAGTCTGGCCAACATGGCGAAGCCCCATCTCTACTAAAAATACAAAAAATTAGCGGGTGTGGTGGTGGGCATCCGTAATCCCAGCTACTCAGGAGGCTGAGGCAGAATCGCTTGAAGCTGGGAGGCGGAGGTTGCAGTGAGCCAAGATCGCGCCACTGGACTCCAGCCTGGACGACAAGAGCGAAACTTCATCTCAAAAAAAAAAAAAAAAAAAAAACTTAAGGAATAGTTATTATCTGATATGATGGCTTATTAAGAAGGAAGGGAACACATGATAGGTCTGTTTTGAAAAGGAATGGGGACAGAACAAAATATTACTAGGTCTGATCAAAAGAGGCTTGTTCTGGCTTGTCTTTGTCTGCCTTGGAGTCACGGGACAGGTGTAAGGCCAAATTGTGCACTTCCCAGTCATGTTACCTTGGGCAAATAATTTAAAATCTGTAGTTTCCCAATCTGAAAATTGAGTCTGATACCTGTTCTAATTTAGTGTTGATTGATATGAAGCTCAAAATCAGAAACATGTATGAAAGTTCTTTGCAAACTAAAATATATGTGTGAGGAATTGTTATTATTAGTTTAGAGGATGGACTGTTGTCCTTAGAAGGCAAGTCTCTGGGTCCTACAGTTAGATGCACTGAGCGCTTCGGGAAGAATTTAGGGCTATGGGGTACTCAGCAATTAAAAGAGAGGGTGCTTAGAGAAGGAAGAAAGGACTTATTAATGGAGTTTGGAGGCTCCTTATTATTGAAACTTACACATTACGTGACCAGCATTATGAGGCAGCACCCACTTCCAACAAATAGCCCTCTAGAACCAAAAGCAGAGTGGCAGGTCCTGGGTCCTTTTGTACACAGCATAAAAAATTAAGTCAATCGGCCAGGCGTGGTGGATCATGCGTGTAATCCCAGCACTTTGGGAGGCTGAGGCGTGTGGATCATCTGAGGTTAGGAGTTCAAGACCAGCTTGACCAACATGGTGAAACTCCGTCTCTACTAAAAATACAAAAAATTAGCCAGGCGCAGTGGTACATGTCTGTAATCCCAGCTACTTGGGAGGCTAAGACAGGAGAATTGCTTGAACCCAGGAGTCGGAGGTTGCAGTGAGCCAAGCTCGTGCCACTGCACTCCAGCCTGGGCAACAGAGTGAGACTCTGTCTCAAAAAAAAAAAAAAAAAAAAAAATTAAGTCAATCCTGGCATAACTGCAGACCAGGCCCTGGAATGAGCAACCCACCAGCATTATCTGCATTTCTAGGAACTTGGGCTAGAAGGGGAGGAATGGGGTTGGAAGGGTTAGGCTACATGCCTCTAGTTAAAACCTGATGAACTTCCTAGATCCCCAACTAGAAAATGTAGGAGTTGGACTAAATTCCTCTCCTGCCTCTAATATTTTATGAATACAGAACTCAACTCAAAATGGGTAGTATCTCAGAGATTCCAAATTTAGTTCTACTTTTCTGTTTGCTTATCAGTCGCTTACCCTCACCCTCTGGTCTGATACCTTTATCCTGTACAAGTGGTCAAAGTAGGTTGAGTAACGTGTGCTAAAAGGAGTAATATCTTGCATTCTCCCTTGTTATTAAAATAGAGGAAACTGCCTTGAAAGAAAAGACTAAAAAGCAATAAGCCTTAGTATCAGTATCTTCTGAAAGCTTTAAAAAAATAATACTCTCATCTCTACCAACAGATTTGGATTCTGAAGTTCTGAGGTGGAGTCCAAGAGTGTGCAGTCAGCTTCTGGGGTGGTGTTTGTTAGATACAGTTTTTTGTTTATTTATTTATGTTTGAGACAGGGCCTCACTCTGTCACCCAAGCTGGAGTGCGGTGGCACAGTCATGGCTCACTGCAGCCTTGCCTCCCAGGCTCAAGCAATCCTCCTGCCTCAGCGTCCCCAGTAGCTGGGACCACAGGTGTGCACCACCATGCCTGGCTAATGTTTTAAAACTTTTTTTGTAGAGACAGGGTCTTACTATGTTGTCCAGGCTGGTTTCAAACTCCTGGAATCAAGCGATCTTCCTGCCTTGGCCTCCAGAAATGCTGGGACTGCGCCTGGAATAGATACGGGTAAAGAACCTTTTACATCAGACTCTTGTGTCCTACTCCCAGAATGCTGATTCAGTAGCCTGCAAGTGAGGCCTAGAAATCTGCATTTTCACAAGCTCTCAGGTTTAATACACAATACATTTAAAGAAAGCACAGCCCAAAGGGTGTCAGTGGGGTGTATGAAGGAAGCCTGGTTAGTGGGGAGAGTGGGATTAGGGAACAGCTGCTTAACCTGGCTTGTTTCAAGTCCCCCTTTCTCCCTTTTTGCCCTCAAAAAGTTCCCCTCATTTTTTCCCCTCTACTTTCTAATTTCTCACCATGCACTCACACAGCTATACAGCTGTCTCCAGAGATTACTCTGGAAACTCTGCTATAAAGATGACCTGGTCTAATGCCTTGATTTGTTTTTTGTTTGTTTGTTTTTTTGAGACAGGGTCTCACTCTCCTGGAGTACAGTGGCGTGATCATGGCTCACTGCAGCCTTGACCTCCTGGGCTCAAGCAATCCTCCCACATAGCTGGGAGCATAGGCACATAGCACACCACTCTCGGTTAAATTTTTTTTTTTTTTTTTTTTTTTTTGTAGAGATAGAGTCTCACCATGTTGTTCAGGCTGGTCTTGAACTCCTGGACTCAAACGATCCTCCCACCTTGGCCTCCCAAAATGCTAGGAATACAGGCATGAGCCACTGCACCAGGCCTAATGTCCTGATTTTATAAATCCCAAAACTGGGGCCCAGAGAGGAGAGAAATCATTAAGATCACCATACTGCTTGGTATCTAAAGTAGTACTGACCCTTTTGACACCTAATCCAAAGTTTTTTCAGCTACCTCAGGTTGCCCCTCATCTTCCAGCTGACACCATCCAGCACCTTTCAGATACTGGCAAAGGAGCAGTGTTTCAAAATTACTTTCCAAATGGCCTCCTACAAGGCAGTCCTCAGAGAGAAGCAAGGTTCTGCATCTTAAACCTTCCTTGGTTTCTTAGGTTCCAAAGCTGTTTCTATCAGTCTCCAAGCAACCAACTCTTTAGAATTCCATGAGTCTACTCAGAGAACTTGTGGGTTCAGTCGGGGGTATATCTTCAACCATTTATTAAATTTCCTTCTTTGTAAACTGAGCTGTGAGAAATTGCATCTTATTTATTGATTATTTATTGAATGGTAGTTTCATGGAGTTTTTCGTCTTTTTTTTTTTTTTTGCGAGGGAGTCTCACTCTGTCGCCCAGGCTGGAGTGCAGTGGTGTGATCTTGGCTCACTGCAACCTCTGCCTCCCAGGTTCAAGCAATTCTCCTGTCTCAGCCTCCCATTACAGGCCACACCACCACGCCCCACTAATTGTTGTACTTTTAGTAGAGATGGGGTTTCACCATATTGGCCAGGCTGTTCTCGAACTCCTGACCTCAAGTGATGCACCTGCCTTGGCCTCCCAAAGTGCTGGGATTTGCAACTGTGAGCCACCACACCCAGCCTCTTGGTCATTCTTTGAAAAATAAACCTCAGCCAGGCGCAATGGCTGACACCTGTAATCCCAGCAACTTGGGAGGCTGAGGTGGCGGATCACCTGAGGTCAGGAGTTCGAGACCAGCCTGACCAACATGGTGAAACCCCATCTCTACTAAAAATAGAAAATTTAAAAAGAAAATCAGCTGGGCCTGGTGGCGCATGCCTGTAATCCCAGCTACTTGGGAGGCTGAGGCAGGAGAATCGCCTGGACCCAGGAAGCAGAGGTTGCAGTGAGCCAAGATCAGGCCATTGCACTCCAGCCTGGGCAGCAAGAGTGAAGTGCAGTCTCAAAAAATAAAAATAAAAAAACCCTCTAGATGTATGCGGCTCCATATTCTCCCACCACAAGGGTTTATAAATCCTGAGAAAGAGGCAAAGCAGGGAACACATGACCACATAGCTCTGGCAGGCGTCAGATTACCAGGCTGATAAAACAGATGGTAAAGTAGAAGCTGTCCGTTGACTTTTCCATTCCCCTTTCAGCTCCTCCACTGCTACTTAATCTCCTTTGCCCACACAGTTCAATCCTATTTTCCCTGATCTCCAAATCCTGGCTAGATTATTAGCCATTAACACTAGCTTTTACAAGGAGACTCTTCAATCTTGTATTTCTAGTAGTATAATTTCACACGTACAGAAATTCTTTAAGTCATAGAAGTCTTACAGATACAGAAATTCTGATCTTCAGGAGTCCTGTTGTGAAACAAACTAATTTATCCTGACAGCAGGAAAGATTTCTGGGCCTAAGGCTCTGTCTCGTTGACCCAGCTCATGCTATTCAGGTGGTCCATCTCTTGGTTCCAGGCAAGACTGCTGCTGCTGACCAACCTGAATATGGACTTTAGCACTTGGGCTCAAGCTGCACTCAGATGGTTGGACCACCATAAAAGAGCGAGAGGGTACGTTTTTGGTATGAAAAGTAAAGACTAGGCCGGGTGCAGTGGCTCACGCTCATAATCCTAGCACTTTGGGAGGCCAAGGTGGGCAGATCACAAGGTCAGGAGATTGAAACCATCCTAGCTAACACAGTAAAACCCCATCTCTACTAAAACATACAAAAAAATTAGCCGGGTGTGGTGGTGGGCACCTGTAGTCCCAGCTACTTGGAGGCTGAGGCAGGAGAATGGCGTGAACCCAGGTGGTGGAGCTTTCAGTGAGCCAAGATTGGGCCACTGCACTCCAGCCTGGGTGACAGAGCAAGACTCCATCTCAAAAAAATAAATAAATAAATAAAAAGAAAAGAAAAGTAAAGACTAAAAAAATTAAATATTATAACCCTGCTAAGGCAGGAGGATCCTTTGAGCCCAGGAGTTTGAGGCTGCAGTGAGCTATGATGGCACTACTGCAACCCAGCCTCAGTGACAGAGGGAGACCCTGTTTCTAATAAAATAAATCAAAACCCTGTTGAAGGTTCCTCAAAAAATTAAATATAGAATTACTATGTGATCCAGCAATTCTACTTCTGGGTACATATCCAAAAGAATTGAAAGCAGGGACTTTAACAGATATTTGTATACCCATGTTCATAGCAGCATACTCACAATAGCCAAACGGTGGAAAGAACCCAAATGTCCATCAGTGAATGAATGGATAAACAAAATGTGGAAGATACATACAACAGAATGTTATTCAGCCTTAAAAAGGAATGAAATGGGCCAGGCGTGGTGGCTCAGGCCTGTAATCCCAGCACTTTGGGAGGCCGAGGAGGGTAGATCACCTGAGGTCAGAAGTTCAAGACCAGCCTGGTCAACATGGTGGAACCCCATCTCTACTAAAAATACAAAAATTAGCTGGGTGTCCTGGTACGCGCCTGTAGTCCCAGCTACCTGGGAGGCTGAGGCAGGAGAATCACTTGATCCCAGGAGACGGAGGTTTCAGTGAGCTGAGACCGCGCCACTGCACTCCAGCCTGGGGGGACAGAGCAAGACTCCAAAAGTTCTGGAAATGGATAATGGTGATAGTTGTACAACAATGTAATGTACTTAATGTCACTGACTTGTACACTTAAAAATGGTTAAAATGGGCTTGTTCCAGCAGCTCATGCGTGTAATTCTAGCGCTTTGAGAGGCCAAGGCAGGATGATCACTTGAGGCCAGAGTTCGAGACCAGTCTGGGCAACATAGCAAGACCCTGTCTCTAAAAAAAAAAAAAAAAAAAAAAGGTTAAAATGAGGCCATGCATGCCTACAATCCCAGCACTTTGGGAAGATGAGGTGGTAGGGTCACTTGTTTGGGAAGAGGAGGTGGGAGGATCCTTTGAACCCAGGAGTTCAAGGCTGCAATGAACCATCATGGTGCCATTGCACTCCAGCCTGGGTGACAGAGCAAGACCTAGTCTCTAAAAAATAAGAGTTAAGGCCAGACACGGTGGCTCATGCCTCTAGTCCCAGCACTTTGGGAGGCTGAAGCAGGCAGATTACAAGGTCAGGAGTTTGAGACCAGCCTGGCCAACATGGTGAAACCTCGTCTTTACTAAAAATACAAAAATCAGCTGGCCGTGGTGGCATGTGACTGTAATCCCAGCTACTCAAGAGGCTGAGGCAGGTGAATCACTGGAACCCGGGAGCCAGAAGTTGCAGTGAGCCGAGATCAGACCACTGCACTCCAGCCTGGGCGACAGAGCAAGACTCTGTCTTGAAAAAAAAAAAAGAATTAAAAAAAGAAACATGGCCGAGTGTAGTGGCTCTTGCCTATAATCCCAACACTCAGGGAGGCCAAGGTGGGAGGATTGCTTAAGCCCAGGAGTTCGAGACCAGGCAACATAGGGAGACCCCATCTGTACAAATAATCTAAAAAGTTAGCCAGGTGTGGTGGTGCATGCCTGTGGTCCCAGGTGCTCGGGAGGCTGAGGTGGGAGAACTGTCTAAGCCTGGGAGGTTGAGGCTGCAGTGAGCTATGATCGCACCACTGCACTCCAGCCTGGGTAACACAGTGAGACACCCCGTCTTAAAAAACAAACAAGCAAATAAACAAATACTATGCATAAAACCTCAAGGCTCAAGAAACAACAGTTTGAAATAGTTAGATGTGTGTTTTTTTTAATTTTCATGTCTTATCTTTTCTGCTTTTTTTTTTTTTTTTAAGGGATGAGGTCTTGCTCTGTTGCCCAAGCTGGTATCGAATTCCTCCTGGGCTCAAGCAATCTCCTGCCTAGGCCTCCCCCCTAACAGCTGGAACTACAGGCATCTACCACTGCATTCAGCTACTGGGGGAGTGTTTGACTAGTCTTTTTAAAAAATATGTTAATATCTTGGTAAAAAGTATATTTATACTGTTCTCTAACCTGCTTTTTTTCATCAGTTTCATGGAAGAATGCTCATCATATATTCTTCTGCTTTATAACTAAACTGCTTTCATTTATGACATCACAATTAAACTGGTAAAACCAAATTTATATTGCTAACTTGTTTCTAATTTTTTCTCTATTAAAATGATATGATTAGCATCCTTGTAGCCAAATATTTACACATATTTATGAAGTTATACTTAAAACAAATTCCTAGACGTGGAACTGTGAGTCAAAGAGAAGGGATCTTTTAAATATTTTTGCATAGATTGCCATGAAAAGGTCATACCAGTTTATATATCCACCAATATGAGTTTCTTTTCCAAATCTTCTTCAACATCCTGTGAGAGACAGTTAAACATAGTTGTTCAGAGCCCAGCCTTGAGAATCAGATTTCAAACATATGAACCCTCTCCCTTTTTCTTTTCTTTTTCTTCTTTCTTTTTTTTTTTTTTTTTTTTTTTTTTTTTTTTTTTTTTGCCCAGGCTGGAGTGCAGTGGCGCCATCTTGGCTCACTGCAAGCACTGCCTCCAGGGTTCACGCCATTCTCCTGCCCCAGCCTCCCGAGTAGCTGGGACTACAGGCGCCTGCCACCACGCCCGGCGAATTTTTTGTATTTTTGGTTTTTTTTTAGTAGAGACGGAGTTTCACTGTGTTAGCCAGGATGGTGTCGATCTGCTGACCTCGTGATCCACCCGCCTCGGCCTCCCAAAGTGCTGGGATTACAGGCGCGAGCCACCGCGCCTGGCCCCTTTTTCTTGTTAGAGACAGGGTCTTATCCAGGTTGGTCTGAAACTCCTGGCCTTAAGAAACCCTGCCACCTCAGCCTCCAAGTAAACTGGGATTATAGGCGTGAGCCACCTCACCCAACTTCCACTTCCCAGCTGTATGATCTTCAGAAAATCAGTTAAATTCTCTGGGCCTTAATTTACTACTACGGTTCTTGTAAGTATTAACAATTAGCTACTATTATTTACCTTCTTTAGTTCCTGAGACTTCTATGCACAGAATATACTTGATGTGTGCCACAGAACCTATACAAAGGTAATTACAACTAACAGGGAGTTGTATGATAATGACATGGGACATGGGACATGAGAGCATTTGGAAAGAGATAAAAAGGCTTACCTTGAGGACAGCCTTATTAGGAGCAGAGGCAAACACAGGTTTTGTGAGTTTGAAGCTTACGCATTTATAGGTTTCTCTAATTACCAAGATAGGAAATTATGAAATCAGGTACAAGGGCTTGGGAGGGGCCTAAAGCTTAAGTTTGATGAAAAAAAAAAACCACCTCTGGTTGGAACCAATAGCCTATGAAAAAGTAGAAAAAAGCCCAATGCATGGGGAGCGCCGGTAGTCCCTTGAGGTGTTTGAGAGGCTGAGGCAGGAAGATGGCTTTAGCCCAGGAGTTTGAGGCTTGTAAGTGCGCAGTGATGGTAAACCGCCGCTGTACTCCAGACTGGCAACGTAGTGAGACCCTGTCTCTTTAAAAAAAAAAAAAAAAAAAAAAAAAGATGAGAGGTAACACTTGCCTGACTGGGACAAAAATGAGAAACCAGTATAAGAAAATAATAACTATTGGCCGGGCGCGGTGGCTCATCGCCTGTAAATCCCAGCACTTTGGGAGGCCGAGGCGGGCGGATCACAAAGTCAGGAGTTCGAGAAATTAATAACTATTACCTCATTTGGCTATTTTTACACCTGTAAGGAATAAAGCTCAGAGGTCACACAGCTAGTAAGAAGCCAGCACCCTTCGATGTGGGAGTGATGTGGAGGATAGGCATATACAGAGAACACGAAAGCAAAACACCATGGTGCAGATTTTGAAAGAAAAGCCCTAAGATTAGTAATGAGTGTGAATTATTCAACAAAGTGATCAAAACCAACTCCAGTCCTGCATTCCTCTTCGCCATCAGGAGTTTGGAGCCTGGAGACTGCTAGCTGCCTGGTTGTTGTTGTTTTTTTTTTTTTCTGAGACGGACTTTCGCTCTGTCGCCCAGGCTGTAGTGCAGTGGCATGATCTTGGCCAACTGCAAGCTCCACCCCCCGGGATCACGCCATTCTCCTGCCTCAGCCTCCCGAGTAGCCGGGACGAACCAGTCCTGGCCCAGCCCATTCCGCGAGCCAGCAAGCTTCTGAAAAGCAAACCTAGGAAGTTGCTTTCCAACATAAAGTGGAGGTTTCAACACAGGAGACTTTAAGCAAGTTCCAGTGTGTCTATATTTGGTCTGGCTGATCGGCTGGACTCTGGCCTTCCCCGCTCACATTAGCAGACAGCTCTGCCCTAGTGGGCGTTTAGCCTGCGACGGCAGCCCGAGAGGAAGAGTTGGGCAGAGTTGCAGGGGTCTCCACAGCTGAGGCAGTTTGGCCGGATTATTTGGGTTCCTGCTCGGATGGCGGCGACGCTGATCCTGGAGCCCGCGGGCCGCTGCTGCTGGGACGAACCGGTGCGAATCGCCGTGCGCGGCCTAGCCCCGGAGCAGCCGGTCACGCTGCGCGCGTCCCTGCGCGACGAGAAGGGCGCGCTTTTCCAGGCCCACGCGCGCTACCGCGCCGACACCCTTGGCGAGCTGGACCTGGAGCGCGCGCCCGCGCTGGGCGGCAGCTTCGCGGGGCTTGAGCCCATGGGGCTGCTCTGGGCCTTGGAGCCCGAGAAACCCTTGGTGCGGCTGGTGAAGCGCGACGTGCGAACGCCCTTGGCCGTGGAGCTGGAGGTGCTGGATGGCCACGACCCCGACCCCGGGCGGCTGCTGTGCCGGGTGCGGCACGAGCGCTACTTCCTCCCGCCCGGGGTGCGGCGCGAGCCGGTGCGCGCGGGCCGGGTGCGAGGCACGCTCTTCCTGCCGCCAGGTGACTCACCTCCGCTAATTGTTCCCCTCTGCCCATCCCTGTTCCTGCGCTTTCCACTGTGTGTGTGTGTGTGTCCCCTTCGCCCCGCCCCGCTCTTTTCGCTTGTGTGTGTGTCCCTCCTCCCGCCCCACCACCACCACCCCGGGCTATGTTGCCCAGGTAGGTCTTGAACTCCTGGACCCAAGCTATCCTCCCGCCTCTGCCTCCCCAAGAGCTAGGATTGCAGGGTGAGCCACTGCGCCCGGCCCTTTGAGGGGAGTTACACTTATTTTTTTATTTTTATTTTTTTTCGTCCCTGCGCTTTTCATACGGAGAAAGGATGTAGCTTCCAACATTCCGGAGGTTAGTGTAAGGAGACAGGAATGGAATGGAAAGTTGGTTGGGGAATTGCCCCTGCCGCTCCAAAACTGAGAGGTCCCTCAAACCTAGTGCTCAGTTAAAAGACATTGTAAGGGCTGGGCGCGCTGGCTCACGCCTGTAATCCCAGCACTTTGAGAAGCCGAGGCGGGCGGATCACGACGTCAGGAGATCAAGGCCATCCTGGCTAACACGGTGAAAACTCGTCTCTACTAAAAATACAAAAAATTAGCCGGGCGTGGTAGCGGGCGCCTGTCGTCCCAGCTACTCGGGACGCTGAGGCAGAAGAATGGCATGAACCCAGGAGGCGGAGTTTGCAGTGAGCCAAGATCGTGCCACGCACTCCAGCCTGGGCAATAGAGTGAGACTCCGTCTCAAAAAAAAAAAAAAAAAAAGGCATTGTAAGGAAAGAGAAAAGACACATAATATTAAAAACAAACAAAACAAAACAAAAAAAACAGGCCGGACGCGGTGGCTAACACCTGTAATCCTAGCACTTTGGGAGGCCGAGGCAGGCGGATCAAGAGTTCGAGACCAGCCTGGCCAACATGGTGAAACCCCGTCTCTACTAAAAATACAAAAATTAGCCAGGTGAGGTGGTGCACACCTGTAGTCCCACCTACTCGGGAGTCTGAGGCAGGAGAATCGCTGGAACCCTGGAGGCAGAGGTTGCAGTGAGCCGAGATCACGCCATTGTACTCCAGCCTGGGGGACAAGAGTGAAACTCCATCTAAAACAAAAACAAAAACAAAAAACAAACAACAACAACAAAAAATTTTCAAGTAGTTTCAATGTTCTTATTTATGTATGGACCAGGAAGTCACTTTTTTTTTTAATAAAAAGAATTCCAACTGGTTTTCTCACTGTATTTCCATGGCAGCTAGGAGGTGCCAGGTGGCTGGGCCTGTGACAGTGCAGAGGTTTTGGTGCCTGCCCGCCCACCATTGCTCCAGCTGCAGCTGCTGCCCCCTGCAGGGCCTGTTCGTTCCTGCTGCCTAGCTCCCTGCTGGCTGGCTATGATCTCCGTCCTGTTACCATTCCAGGAGAGCAGCCACCTCCCTGTGCATGGCAGGACCAGGTACTGATTGTGGCCTCTCCTCTTGGCCTCGAATGGTATCCTTGTCATCAGTGAGCAAGTCCCCAAAGACCACGGTCTTGTCCATTGTCAGGATAATTCACTCCACAAGCTGGGACTCCAGGTGCTGCTCTACCCAGCGGTGCTTCTCACCCACACAGTGGTCATACTTTGGCAGGGGCTGGTGCAGTGTGAAGACCTCGGTGTTTTGCATGTGCTTCATCTCTTGCAAGGCCCTCTGGGGTTGGGCTTCAAGACTAGGGAAAAGCCTAGGGCTTCACACCCATGGGCCACTTTATCCACCAGGTCCGGCAGCAGGGTGAGGTACTGCTTCCAGACCAGGAAGCTGCGGTGCTGCTGCAGTGTCACATGCAGCTCCCTGAGAAGCGGCGGCTGAAGCCCCACAGGATGCCGTCTGGAAGCTGCCAGCACGCGGTCCCTGTCCATCAGCACACGCGTGGGCTGTGCTCATCGCTGCCGGGGCACTGGGGTTTCTCGGGATCCTAGGGGTATGGGGCCCAGAAATGTTCTTTAAAAGTTTCTCATTTTTGCAACTTTTCTTTCAATTCACACAGTATGTTAAGGTTTATGTAAATTAGCATTTACAATAGGAAAGCCTCTTCCTGTCAAATGGAAATTTGAGGTTACTGGATACTTTTATATTACATAAAGAGCAATCAGCCAGTGTAGAAATGATGCTTATCCTTATTAATAATCAAAGAAATGCAAAATAAAACAACAGAGTACATTTCACACCCTCAGAAGTGGCCCACTTTTAGAAGCTAGCATTATCAATTGCTGACCAGTATGTGGAGGAAATGAAACTCACTGCTAGAAGGAGTCAACATATTCATCTGCTCTGGGCAACAATTTGTCTTAACTTACAAAGTTAAATATGTTATTCTACTTGTACATGTGCACCAGGAGGCATATTCCTTATAAGAGGAAAGCCATTGCAGATGAGCAGTCTGGATTAATTTAAAAAAAGAGCAAAGTCAACTGGAAACAGTCCAAATGTCCATCAACAATAGAACAGATTAATAAATTGAGGTATATTTCCAGCAGTCAAAGTGATTGAACTACAGCTAGAAGAATCAACATCTATCAAGATATACAAAAGAAAAGAAAAAAATAAAAAAGAATCAACATGGATGAATCTCCAAACCACTGTTGAGTGAAACAGTCAAACACTAGGAGAACACATTCAGTATCATTCCATTTAGATACAGTTCAAAAAATAGGCAAAATAAAATATTGTTTAAGGTACATAATCTAAGTGGTAATACTATGAAGAAAACCAAGAGTGATACACAGAAAGTCCAGGATACTGGAAAGAGAGGAAAGGGCACAGGGGTCTGTGGGACGTTGATGGTTTGCGGGTATCAGCACTGAACTATGTCTTAAAAGTGTTGCCTGTAAGGTGTTTGCATTCTTTTTTTTTTTTTTTTTTTGAGACAGTGTCTCGCTCTTTCGCCCAGGCTGGAGTAGTGGCACAATCTTGGCTCACTGCAACCTCCAACTCCCGGGTTCAAGCGATTCTCCTCCCTCAGCCTCCCGAGTAGCTGGGATTACAGGTGGCCGCCACCACACCCAGCTAATTTTTGTATTTTTAGTACAGATGGGGTTTCACCATGTTGGCCAGGCTGGTCTCGAACTCCTGACCTCAGGTGATCCACCCGTCTCAGCCTCCCAAAGTGCTGGGATTACAGGCGTGAGCCACCAGACCCAGCCTGCATTATTATTCTTTAATTTTGTGTGAAACACAAAACCTTTAATGTAAATGATAAAAATATTCAGTAAGTGGAGTCATTCAGAATGAGTAGCCTTTTGAGTCTGTCTCCATTGAATAAGTGCATTCTGTTGAGTGCACTGGAGAGGAATTTGTGCTCTTCTATGTAGCAGTCTTTCTTTTTGTTTCTTGGTGGTGCACCATTAAATGGATTCATTCACCAGTTAAAGGACATTTGGGTTGTTTCCAGTCTTTGGCTACAATGAATAAAGTCACTATAAACACTTGCCAGAAGTTTCTGGACGAACACAGGTTTTCATTTCTCGTGGGTAGATACCTAGGAGTGGGATTGCTGGGTCACATGTGTGGTAAGTATATGTTTAACTTGGTAAGAAACCATCCAACTGTTTCAGGAATAGCTTAGTTTTGCATTTTGTTTTGTTTCTTCCCAAGAACCTGGGCCCTTTCCTGGCATTGTGGACATGTTCGGAACTGGAGGTGGCCTGCTGGAGTATCGGGCTAGTCTGCTGGCTGGGAAGGGTTTTGCTGTGATGGCTCTGGCTTACTATAACTATGAAGACCTCCCCAAGACCATGGAGACGCTCCATCTGGAGTACTTTGAAGAAGCTGTGAACTACTTGCTCAGTCATCCTGAGGTGAGTTCTTCTCTCAGATTTATGGGCTATGATGTATCAGGTCTCTTCTTAAATGGTCTGGGTTTTCACAGAAGTTAGCTCATTCATGACAGCCATTCCCTACCCCAACACACACTACCTTTTTTAGTCACTTCTTATAGACAGTTTCTTTCTTTCTTCTTCTTCTTCTTTCTTTTTTTGAGATGGAGTCTCACTCTGTTGCCAGGCTGGAGTCCAGTGGTGCGATCTTGGCTCACTGCAACCTCCACCTCCCAAGTTCAAGTGATTCTTGTGCCCCAGCCTCCCAAGTAGCTGGGATTACAGGCACCTGCCAACATGCCTGGATAATTTTTGTATTTTCAGTAGAGACGGGGTTTCACAATATTTGTCAGGCTGGTCTTGAATTCCTGACCTCAAATGATCCACCTGCCTTGGCCTCCCCAGGTGCTGGATTACAGGCATGAGCCACTATGCCTAGCCTAATTTTTGTATTTTTTTTTTTTAGTAGAGATGGGGTTTCGCCATGTTGGCCAGGCTGGTCTCAAACTCCTGACCTCAAGTGATCTGCCCACCTCGGCCTCCCAGAGTGCTGGAATTACAGGCATGAGCCACCACACCTGGCCTCTTATAGACAGTTTCTATTCAATTCTATATTACTATATTTCCTGCTAGTAAAGATATTTGTAGTTGGTATTATGCAATTTTAAATTCCAGTATGTTTTTTCTTTCTTTTTTTTTTTTTTTTTTTAAGACGGAGTCTTGCCGTGTCAACGAGGCTGGAGTGCAGTGGCATGATCTCGGCTTACTGCAACCTCCACCTCCCAGGTTCAAGCGATTCTCCTGCCTCGGCCTCCTGAGTAGCTGGGACTACAGGCGCATGCCACTTCTGCCTGGCTAATTTTTGTATTTTTAGTAGAGACAGGGTTTCACCATATTGGCCAGGCTGGTCTCGAACTCCTGACCTCAAATGATCCACCCGCCTCAGCCTCCCAAACTGTTGGGATTACAGGCGTCAGCCACCACGCCCGGCCATGAGATGACGTACTTGTTGATGACGACTCAGTTTAGTTATGACAGTGGGAATGGGTGGCTCAGGTGGGAGACAGAAAAAGATCATGGGAGATAATGAGATTAAGGAACTGAGAAACCAGAGTAATTGATAGATCTTCCACATGGTTATCACCAAGAGTGGTGATGGACAAATTGTGGAAAGGAAGAGATAGAGGGGAGGTAAATTCCCAAAGCTGCAAATCTGGGTAAATGGTAGAACCCAGATTCAGACTCAGGTTCAACTAACTTCCAGGGTGGGCACAACTCACCATATTCCACTGTTTGTGGAGCCATTCTTCTTCTTTTTCCTTTGTCCCTTTCTCAGGTAAAAGGTCCAGGAGTTGGGCTGCTTGGAATTTCCAAAGGGGGTGAGCTCTGCCTTTCCATGGCCTCTTTCCTGAAGGGCATCACGGCTGCTGTCGTCATCAACGGCTCTGTGGCCAATGTTGGGGGAACCTTACGCTACAAGGGCGAGACCCTGCCCCCTGTGGGCGTCAACAGAAATCGCATCAAGGTGACCAAAGATGGCTATGCAGACATTGTGGATGTCCTGAACAGCCCTTTGGAAGGACCTGACCAGAAGAGCTTCATTCCTGTGGAAAGGGCAGAGAGCACCTTCCTGTTCCTGGTAGGTCAGGATGACCACAACTGGAAGAGTGAGTTCTATGCTAATGAGGCCTGTAAACGCTTGCAGGCCCATGGGAGGAGAAAGCCCCAGATCATCTGTTACCCAGAGACAGGGCACTATATTGAGCCTCCTTACTTCCCCCTGTGTCGGGCTTCCCTGCATGCCTTGGTGGGCAGTCCTATTATCTGGGGAGGGGAGCCCAGGGCTCATGCCATGGCTCAGGTGGATGCTTGGAAACAACTCCAGACTTTCTTCCACAAACACTTGGGTGGCCACGAGGGGACAATCCCATCAAAAGTGTAAATTTTATTTGATCATGTGGCCTCTCTGTTGCTAATCTCTCCTGGAAACATCTGCCACATTTAGTGTGTGTATGTGTATTCATTCTTTCTCATAACTTCTTAAAGTTTCTTCCCCTCATTATTAAAATGAATTTACCAGTAAGAATGAGTTTTTAAGATTTTTATAAACTGTATACTTTATCAGTTTGGGAAGGGAGTAACTGTAGGAAACACAAGAAGTGGAAAAAGTCTCCTCTTCCTATCTCAACACACAACTGATAAGGCTTTAGTTCTGAAAGGAAAAGTGAGTAACATCAATTAACAGTGTCTGGTACGTAAATGGAGTTCAATAATTATTTGCTGAATGAGTATAAGTGAGCCAGGCGTGGTGGCTCACACCTGTAATCCTAGCACTTTGGGAGGCCAAGGTGCGCGGATTACTTGAGGTCAGGAGTTTGAGACCAGCCTGGCCAACATGGTGAAACCCCATCTCTACTAAAAATACAAAAAATTAGCCGGGCGTGGTGGCGCATGCCTGTAGTCCCAGCTACTCAGGAGGCTGACGCAGGAGAATTGCTTGAACCCGGGAGGCAGAGGTTGCAATGAGCTGAGATTGCACTACTGCCCTCCAGCCTGGGTAACACAGCAAGACTATGCCTCAAAAATAAATAAATTAATTAAATAAATAAATGATTACCTACTGTGGAAGAAAAGCACATAATATAAAAAGTATATCAGATTTGAGTTTCTCCTTTAAGAATGGAAGTTAACATCTTGCCTATAAACTGATTACTAGTTAGATATAAAACTACTAAAACTTTTCAAAACCAATACATATTTAGTTCTTTGATATCTTCTCCTTGGATTAATAAGGATTCTCCTAGTGCAAATAAATTTTATGTTCCTGTTTATACATATGGACCTTTAGGATTTAATTGTTTCAAAAGCTGATAAAACATTATTGAGATGAATTACATAAGCGATTTTAACAATGACAAATGTGAAATTCAATAACAATTTAGGCTTGGCATGGTGGCTCACACTTGTAATGCCAGCACTTTGGGAGGCCAACGCTGGTGGATTGCTTGAACCCAGGAGTTCAAGACAAGCCTGGGCAACATGGCAAAACCCCGTCTCTACAAACAAATACCAGACATTGTGGCGGATGCCTGTAGTCCCAGCTACTGGGGAGGCTGAGGTGGGAGAACTGCTTGAGCCCTGGAGGCAGAGGTTGCAGTGAGCCGAGATTGTGCTACTGCGCTCTAGCCTGGGTGACAGCAGGATACTGTCTCAAAAAAAAAATAAAGAAAAAGAAAGACAATATTTATATCACTTGATATAAATAGTTACACAATAAACTTGATTTTTTCTTAAACCTTAGTTGTATTTAAAAGAAAAAAAAAACCTTAATTTATTATTATTTTCTTTCCTTTTTTTTTTTTGGAGGCAGGGTCTCATTCTGTTGCCCAGGCTGGAGTGCAGTGGCACAGTCACGGCTCACTGCAGCCTCAACCTCGTAGGTTTAAGCTATTCTCCCACCTCGGCCTCCCTAGCAGCTGAGACCACACAGGCACACACCACCATGCCTGGCTAATTTTTAATTTTTTGTACAGATGGGGTCTCCCAATGTTGCCCAGGCTAGTCCTGAATTACTGAGCTCAAACAATCCTCCTGCCTCAGCCTCCCAAAGTGCTGAAATTACAGGTGTGAGCCACCGCTGCCAGCTTCCGGCACCTTTTTTCTAAAGGAATTCATGGTTTTGTAGCAGTAGAATATAACCAGATCTACAGTAGAGAGATGATACCCTGAGATGAAGCTACCTCCTGTGTTACTCTGCAACCCAGGAATGCAGCTGGTGCCATGTCTCCAAACTTCCACAAGAATGCCAGTGCTGGGCATGGAGCCCCATTTAGAGTACACATGACCTGAGGCTCTGAAAACTCTTAGAGATGATGCAATCTGGGACAGTTGCTCATAGCTGGCCTGGCCAAGTCCCACCCCAAGATGCCAGGCCACAACACAAAATTTCAAGTCATATTGTTTTATCTTTTCCCTTGCAATTATATAGTATATGACTCTCTTAGAAAAGTGCAATAGTTAAAACTTGTTTTAGTAGATGCTAGATCCCAAACTTGAGTCTGCTGAAGCCCTTTTGAGACCTTAGGGACCCTATTCTCCATTCTTAGAAATTCAGGCTGGTGAATATTAGATTCAAAAGCACCACAGATGAGCCGGTGGTTGTAGAAGTACATGCCTGTAATCCCAGCTACTTGGAGGCTGAGGCAGTAGTAGTATTGCTTAAGCCCAGGAGTTCAAGCCAGCCTGGGTAACATAGTGGGACACCATCTTATAAAAACAATTTTTTTTTGAGACAGTCTCGCTCTGTTGCCCAGGCTAGAGTACAATGGCTTGATCTCGGCTCACTGCAACCTCCGCCTCCTGGGTTCACGTGATTCTCCTGCCTCAGCCTCCCAAGTAGCTGGGATTACAGGCGCCCACCACCACACCCAGCTAAATTTTGTATTTTTAGTAGAGATGGGGTTTTGCCATGTTGGTCAGCTGGTCTCGAACTCCTGACCTCAGGTGATACACCCGGCTTGGCCTCCCAAAGTGCCAGGATTATAGGCGTGAGCCACCGCACTTGGCAAAAAAATGTTTTAATAACATGAAAAATTTTAAAAAGCACCACAAGGGTTCAGATTACCTATCAGCCTCTTGACATTTCGTATTTTTTTTTTTTTTTTGAGACGAGATCTAACTCTCACCCAGGCTAGAGTGCAGTGGCAGTAACATGATCTCAGCTCACTACAGTCTTGATCTCCAAGGCTCAAGTGATCCTCCCACCTCAGCCCCCTGAGTAGCTGGGACTGCAGACACATGTCACCATGGACAGCTAATTTTTGTATTTTTGCAGAGACAAGGTTTCACCATGTTGTCCAGGCTGGTCTCAAAACTCCTGGGCTCAAGCAGTCTGTCCATCTTGGCCTACCAAACTGCTTGGATTATAGGCATGAGCAACCGGGCCCAGCCTAGTTAGTCTTTATTAGTTATTTGAAAGACATTTTTCTTTTCACTTTCAACCCATGCACACTGTGAACACTGTGAAATACACAGAAAAGTTCATTAAACTAACATGCTCCATAATGATTCACTTATTTATTTGAAAACAGAGGTTGGGTGCAGTGGCTTATGCCTGTAATCCCAGCACTTTGGGAGGCCGAGGCGGGCAGATCACCTGAGGTCAGGAGTTCTAGACCAGCCTGACCAATATGATGAAACCCTGTCTCTACTAAAAATACAAAAATTAGCCAGGTGTGGTGGCATGTGCCTGTAATCCCAGCTACTTGGGAGGCTGAGACAGGAGAATAGCTTGAACAAGGAGGCGGAGGTTACAGTGAGCCAAGATCACGCCACTGTACTCCAGCCTAGGCAACAAGAGCAAAACTCCGTCTCAAAAAAAGAAAAAAGACCCGGTGCGGTGGCTTACGCCTGTAATCCCAGCCCTTTGAGAGGCCGAGGTGAGTGGATCATGAGGTCAGGAGCTTGAGACCAGCCAGGCCAACATGGTAAAACGCCATCTCTACTGAAAATACAAGTATTAGCCGGGCGTGGTGCTGGGCGCCTGTAATCCCAGCTACTCCGGAGGCTGTGGCAGGAGAATCACTTGAAACCGGAAGGCGGAGGTTGCAGAGAGCCAAGATCGTGCCACTGCACGCCAGCCTGGGCAAAAGGGCAAAACGCTGTCTCAAAAACAAAATAGAGATGGGGTCTCCCTATGTTGCCCATGCTGGTCTTAAACTCCTGGGCTCAGGCAATCTTCCCACCTTGGCATCTCCCAAAGTGCTGGGATTACAGGCAATCACCACTGCACCTGGCCATCATGAATAATTTTAAAGGGAACCACAACATAACCAATACCCAAGTCCAATCGGCATGGTTTTTAAAAGCATATTTAAAGTGTATAACATGGACCAGGCACAGTAGCTCACGCCTGTAATCCCATCACTTTGGGAGGCCAAGGTGGGTGGATCACTTGAAGTCAGGAGTTCGAGAGCAGCCTAGCCAACATGGTAAAACTCCATCTCTACCAAAAAATATAAAAATTTGCCAGGGGTGGTGGTGTGCACCTGTACTCCCAACTACTTGGCAGGCTGAGGTGGGTGAATCGCTTGAACCTGGGAGTCGGAGGTTGCAGTGAGCCAAGATTGTGTTACTGCACTCCAGCCTGGACAACAGAGTGAGACCCTGTCTCAAAAAATAAAATAAAAATAAAGTGTACAAAGAGATGGTTGTGGCGGGTTGTTTTTGTTTTTGTTTTAAGAGACAGGCTCTGGCCAGGCTGGAGTGCAGTGGTGCCATCATAGCTCATTGTAGCCTCAAACTCCTGGGGGCCCAACCCATCCTCCCACTTCAGCCTCCTGAGTAGCTGAGACTATAGGCACTTGCCACCATGCCCAGCTAATTTTTAATTTTTTGCAGAAACAGGGTCTTATTATGTTGCCCAGGCTGGTCTCGAACTCCTGGCCTCAGGTGAGCCTCCTGTAATCAGTAGAAGGGTCCAGCTGCCAGCCACTTGTAAAAAGAAGCCAATATAATAAGAGTGAGGTGTGATAAAGAGAGTGAGTTTTATTATCCATGCTAGCAAGGGGAGAAGTGAGTGTAGTTATTTGCAAATATTTCCACTCTTCAATTTGTGGAGGGAATCCAGGAGCTTTTGAAGAGAGAGTTTGGAGTGCAGAAGAGGCAGCGGAACTAGGAGTTGTCGGGTGGCGTGACCTGCTCCACTGGCTTGTTTTGAAGTATTGTTTCATCTGGTGAAGGAGCCAGTGCCATCATTGTGGCTAGAGGTGTCTGGTCCATATCCAGATCCAGTCCCTGAAGCTGAAGGAAATATATGACCAGGTAATGGTGTGTACTTAACAAGCATCTAGGTAAATACATGTGCATAAGGCACGGAAGCACAGAATGGGAAAAGAAAGGGCGTGGAGGTTCAGCACATTCTGAGGGTGTATTTCAAGATGAAAGGAAACTCATATGCAGATGGTCTCAGAGTTCTATCTTGAGACTCACTGGGGGAGGAGAAAGGGGAAAGGAAAAAAAGTCTTAAGGTTTGAGGCTAAGCTGCTAACCTGCTTAGTTACACTCCCACCTTGGCCTCTCAAAGTGCTGGGATTATAGGCATGAACCACTGTGCCAACCCAACATGGTGTTTTGATATGTGTATATTAACACACTGTGAAAGGATTCACAGGTAATTAACCAGGTAATTCCAGGTAATTAACCTATCCATCGCCTCACATCTTTCTCTCTCTCTCTCTTTTTTTTTTTTCTGGTGGTGAGGACACTTGTCTTAGTCTGTTCAACTGCAGTAACAAAATGTCTTATACCGGGTAATTTATAAACAACAGAAATGTATTGCTCACAGTTTTGGAGGCTAGGAAATCCAAGATCAAGGCACCAGCAGATCTGGTGTCTGCTGAGGGCCTGTTCCTCATAGATAGCACCATCTTGTGTCCTACCTAGTGGAAAGAGCAAGGCAGCTCTCTTCAACCTGTTTTATAAGGGCACCAATCCCATTAATGAGGGTTCCACCCTCATGACAGTCACTTCCCAAATGCCTCGTGATGTGTGTGTGTGTCTGTGTGTGTGTGTATCTCAGGGGCGTCAGGCCTCAATTTCCTCATCTATACAATGGGTATAACAACAATCCCATCTTGTTGGGAGGAATTAACAATCATGCATCGAGCCCTGGGCCTCAGGCTTCAATGTATTAGTTATTAGAGCTAATCATTATTTAATGTTTTAAACACCCCCAGGAAGTAGAGAACATTCCTGTCACATTCTGCAGAAAAAGAAATTGAGGCAAGGGGCAAAGCCATTTGCCAAGGTCATAGATCCTGCAAGCCAATGGCAAGGCAGGATCTGAACCTGGGGCTTCAGATCCTGGGGCTTTACCTGATTAAATACCAAGAGAGAGTGCTGAGATTTTTTTGGTGGTGGACAGTCCCTGAGGCAAGCCATTTTTAGAGCATCTGGGCCACTTGGGGAATTGAATCTTTACCAGGGCTTCCCACCTCCTGTTGCCCCTTCTCTGAAGGTGACCCCCCTCCCACAGTAGCACCCCAACCACTCAGAACCCCCAAGCCACCTTCTTTGCACATGCTGAAGCTAATATTGCCCTCCACTCCACCCCAACATCAGGGACCCTGGCCCAAGCCCTTCCCTGGGAGCCCTTCCTCCTCTCATGAGGCCTCCTTCCCAGCCCCTCAGAACAGCCTCCTTTATGAGAGTGGCCAAGATCCCACTGAAACCTTCCCTATCAACTTTATAAAATTAATCAGGGGAGAAGGGAGGGGCGAAATGGAAATCAGCCCAGCTTGCAGCACACACAGCATTGGTCATGAGGTCAGCTGCTCTCTGACCCACTTGCTCAGAGTTGTTTGCTGCCTGTTGCTCCAGAGTCTCATAGACCCTGTCACAAGGTCATAGTTCCCCTTCACTGCTCATAGATAACAACTGGAACATTATAAAACATTAACTTTTCCATTTGAGATATTCTTTCAGGTCCTGCATAGCAATGAAACTGAGGCAGGATAGGTAGCTAAGGGAGTGACCGTGTTCTCGGGATGCAGCGACCATGGCACCCATACAGTCAACACAGTGAGCCTCAGCATTCGCATTGTCATTGCGCTCATTCAAGCAAAGCTGTCTTCATTAGGGAATTTCCCCCATAGACAGCATGAGCATTTTGATTTTACCTGTCCTCAAACTGACATTTTGCTCATTATAATAGTAGAAGACAGCCCTACATGGAGATGTAATATGCTAATGAGACATGTGACATATGAACAAGCATGTACAGCTACTGTGCATGTGCACACAGAAGACCACCCGGAACATGCTTATTAGCAACACCTCTTCCCACCACCTTATGAATAATCATGTAAGACTCCCATAAAGGGAGTCTCCCTACTGCCAGTCTCTGCTGTCTCACCCTTATGAGCAGCCTGCCTTGAACCCTCTCTCTCACAGTATACAGTCCATTCTGCATGTAAATTTCAAAATATTCTTCTTCCTTTGCAATAAATTACTCTATGCTGCACTTCTTTGCTGTGTGTCTCTTGTTTAAATTCTTTTAAACCAAGAAGACAAGAACCGAGGTGTCACATCAGCCGCCAAAGAAACTGCTGATGCCAGCCTGAATGAAAGACCCCACAGGAACTCACTCACTAAAGAATGCAGTTTTTGCTGGGCGCGGTGGCATGGCTATAGTCCCAGCACTTTGGGAGACAGAGGCGGGCCGATACGAGGTCAGGAGTTCGAGACCAGCCTGGCCAACATAGTGAAACACCGTCTGTACTAAAAATACAAAAATTAGCCGAGTGTGGTGGCATGTGCCTGTAGTCCCAGCTACTTGGAGGTTGAGAGGCTGAGGCAGGAGAATCACTTGAACCTGGGAGGCACAGGTTACAG